>NC_000018.10:74537528-74838883 GCF_000001405.40 Homo sapiens | reverse complement strand
GATTGATGGCTGCAAAACAGTTTGAAATTATACATAAAAGCATCTAAAAGATCTCCATTTTAAATGAGACAAAAGAATCTGAAGCAATCAATCTGGTTTAACTCAAATAGCCCAACATATACTCATTTGGTTCACTGAGTAAGGAATTCCAACAACTATAGTGTACTGTGGAAAAAACTATGCTTTATATATTAGAGGTCACTGCCAATTATTGTGAATTAAAATAGCCAAAACAAAGCAATGCAAAGAGAACTTTTAATAAAGTACATACACACATTAAAAAAAAACTTTGAGTAGCTTACCATAAAAGTGAAAATAATTCTGCTGTAAATCTTCCTAGAAAGAACTGTCAACACAGTTGTCTAGATTAGAATGTAGATATGAAAAGAGAGGGGGAAATGAAGAAAAGAAAAAGACCACAGTGGCATAAAACCAAACCATCCTGTAAGGAGTGGGGCAGAGTAAAAGCTTCACAGGCACCGACATCAAGTATCAGCGGAGGAACACAGGACGCATTCTAATTGTATACTGAACTTGGTACAGGAAGGACATTCAGTGGCATGAGGTCCTCAGGTCCCAGTATATAACTGTAAGAATCACAGCTTCATATTGGAAGATGCATTCTTTAATAGAGTCTCCCTAAGCACCTATCTAAAAATATATTCTTGGGACGGCAGATGGAAAAGCATAGAAATGGAAACATGTATTTTAAGGAGTGGGTAGAGAGGAAAACAAGAGCTGGAATATACCTGTTAAAGTATTTAGAAACAACAGGGGTAGAAATACAACAAATACGAAAGTAACTGCCAATATGAGTAATCAATTGAAGAAAGAATACATAATATCTGTAAGTAATAATGTTGAAAAAATGTAGTGAACAGTAAAGGGAGACCTGGACTAGTTTTGTGTATTTTTAAAGTTACACAAATGCTCCAGACGCAGTGGGTCACGCCTGTAATCCCAACACTTTGGAAGGCCAAGATGGGCAGGTCGCTTGAGCTCAGGAGTTCAAGATCAAACTGGGTAACATGGTGAAATTTCATCCCTACAAAAAATACAAAAATTAGCTGGGTGTGATGGTGGATACCTGTAAGTCTCAGCTACTCAGAAGGCTGAGGTGGGAGGACTGCTTGAGCCCAGGATGTGGTGGCTGCAGTGAACGAGATTAGGCAGCTACACTCCAGCCTGGGTGACACAGTGAGATCCTGTCTCAAAAAAGAAAAGGTTACATACAAAAGAAAAATTAAAACTCCATAAAAGAAAAAAAAAAGCCCTTCAGCAAAGATAGGCATTAGAATTTCTAGTATTAAGAAAAATTAAAAATGTTCAATGAGCGCATGTTACTCTTAGCATCCTGATGAATAATATTAGAAGTGGTTGATATTTCATCTTGCTTTAATGTAACAATAACAAGATATCAGTATATTACCAGTACTAACAGGCATTATTATTTCACATCTAGTATTGGATTTTTTTTTTAATGTAAGCCTCACTGAATGATCTTTCTCCAAGTAATTTGTATGTGACTCTTTCTATATTGTTCCATTCTTTAGAATGAAAATATACTAGTAGGTTTATACCATGATCATCAACATGTTATCTGGTCTTGAAAAGTAGTAAAGCGAACAAAAGGGGGATATACTATTTTCTTTCAGAAAAGAATAAACCCATTTGAAAAGTAAAATTCCTGCAAACTTCCCTGTAGTGACCATTTATCAGACAGTCATGTGTAAATACACTTTCAACACATTTAATAGTAGGTTTTATTCTCCCAGGACAGGTTGAGGATATCTGGAAATAAGAATCTTTAATTGTCTTTTGTCCCACTATTTATCCTCAGGAAAATGACCTCTTCTGGAAGGAAATTCAGAATCTAATGTGGGACAGCCTTCTGCAGTAGCACATTTCCACTTGAGTCAGGTTGGTAAAGGGCCTCATCACTGATCTTCGATCCCAAATAAAAGCTTCCCCAGGGCAAGTGGGGTCGGTGGGTGATCCATGCAGAGGAACCGCCTACTAGCTCTGTGGCTCTGAGCAAGTTACTCAGCCTGGTCAAGCCACAGTGACTTCACCTCTAGGAAGCACATGATGACAATGATATCTAACTCACAGTCGTGTTGTTAGGATTAAATGAAATAAAGCATTCCACAAAGCCTCTGATGAAGTCAGCCTGGCCTTGGCACACTCTGAAGCAATGATAGTTACCTTTACTATAACTCAGACGGTTTATCCATCAAACACCTAAAGAGATCTGTAAAAAATGAGGAAGGTTAGAAACGGAGGCATCGACCCTCCTTCTGAGTCAGTTACACTGGGCACAGGGAAGCTGCAGGGCAAAGCCCAGGCCAGATCTGGACCAGTGCCAGAAAAAGGAAATAAGCAGCATGCTGTGTGCTGGGGGAGCAGGGCTCACTCGGGAAGGGCAGCAGGCAGGCATTCCCCAAATACACACACAGCAGCTCCCTGCAAACAAAGGAATAGTAAAAGGCAAGGCTTGGGCAAACAGTGGTAGAGCCCATCCCTAACACCAATACAGAAGGTAGGGGGATTTTAAACATGTAAATAAAGGTAACTGTTATAAGTGCTCCACGGAGGAAAGGGGAGAGGGCAGAAAGGTGGATAAGAGGCAGGGATCACTGAGAGTGTGAGATGCTGAGGAGTGGCCAAGGGGCTTTGAGTTACAGGCTCCTGAAGTTTTATGCTCAAATTCTCTGAAAAAACGTGCATGACTAAATATTTTCTTTAAGTTTTTAACCTATTTTTTGTCCTTCATTTAAAACTTCTTAACTCCTTACATAATACTGGGTCCCACGAAGCTTCTAGAAGCACACATCTAATTGTGCCCTAATTTCCTGCCTCTTTTTTTTTTTTTTTTCCATAAGGGTCCCTTATCCCAAAGGAGCCCTTCTCCACCGTTTCCTTCACTAGCCTGCGATACATTCAGCTGTAACTAAACTGCAGCAGGTGCTACTGGTCCTTGCTTGCACCAACCAGCATACCCGTACCTGTGAGCTGATCTCACTTGTCTCCTAGAATGTCAGCTTCCTGAAGGCAGACTCTCCCTCAGTTTCATATTTACAATTTTATTTCCTAATGGGGCTAGCACTGTTCTTAGCACCAGATAAATTAAATATTGGTTGAGCAAATTTACAGATTTCTCTTCTTGCCTGAAAATATACCTACAGTCAACCCTGGACACATTTTCCCTCTCCATTTACACACACACACACACACACACACACACACACACACACCCCCCTCTGTCCAAGACACAAACTCACACACTCAAAATTTTCCTTCTACCACAAGTTTACTTCTTTATCTCTAACAAATAAAATCCTAGACTTAAAAGCTTCAGTGTGTTCTTATGTAGCAAAATCTCCCCTATCTTGCCACCATGGGCACAGTTTATATTCTATTATAGCAGCCACACATTACACATCCATCTCAACTGCACACCCTCAGAGGCGGGGACCAATTCACAACTTCACACCTTGTGCAACACTGACCACTGGGCCTTCTGTGCAAGTGGCTCAAGCAACGCTCAGTGAACTGAACCGTCTTCCCTTCCAATAGTGAGAGAGAAAGTGGCACGAAGGAAAATCAGTTTAAACTATTGGACCTGGTATGTGAGTCTCCCACACTCCGATGGTGTGGTCAGATGTCCGCCTTGATGCAGAGCTATAAGCGTGGGTTTGAGACAACCAGGGTTTGTTCTGGTTGCTGTCTCCCAGGTCAGGAAAAAGACTATGAGCTGGAAAGTGGCCTAACCTGCCTATCACAGGACCCTGGAATGTGGAATGACAGCTTTCCTAGGGAAGCTCTTCGAGGCTGATGTGGTCAACAGAAGGGGGAATTTGCCTCCTATCTATCTGCATCTTCAAAGGTTATCATCCTCAACTCTGTACAAGGGTACTGTCAGAAATCTAAGAAGCAAAAAGGAAAACAAAAATCACGAAAGAAAGAAAAGCAGCAGAAAGTCATGTTTGATCCAAAGATCACTCAAAGCCAAAGTCATACTGGTGAACTATGAACTCTGGAAGGCATCTAACAGTGTAAAGGCAGCCTGTGGTTAGCCCAGCAAGCTAATCAACCCACTTTCACTATTCCTCGTGTCTGAAAAAAGTGGGGCACTGTTTTCCCTGTGTCTGCGAACTGCCCATCCCTGCACTAGTGCTCAGCCTGCGGGAAGGAAGGATTGCCACTTTCTGGTGGGTGTAGAGGTCATCAAATATATCTGACTGGCTTCATCCAGAAGTTTCCATGTATGATTTGTTCTATGGAAATATGAATCATATCCTCCTGGCAAGACAAAGAAAGACCTTCTGAAGGGGGCCCTGTTCATCCAGTCTGGAGTTATTTCTAGATCATTAGAAATGCTGATAGAAGAAAGGCTAGACAGCAAAGCTCTGACAGAGACTCTCAAAGATGTCTATACTAAATTGTCCCACCAGGTTCTAAGGAGAGTGGCCAAGTACCAAAATAAAAGACGAATTAGAGATTTCTTCATACCCAGATCATCCCATTTTTCTAGACATAAAGTAGCTAAGAAGTAAAGGAATTGGGTCATGCTGCAAGAAGGCCCTATGGGGCCAATTTTTTCCCCTAAACTGAACAAAAATAGAGAATAGTTTCTAAATCAGCTGTGAAAATTTTATCCATATTGTGAGCAGGATGCAGTGATCTAAATTTGCAAGCTGGCTTAAAGACATTCATCTGCGCCACATAAGGGTTAATCGGTGATTTTGTTTTACTGCTACTGAACAAATGAGAGAAAAGTATATACAGCAAAGTTTGATAAAGGTTAGATTTTTCAAACAACTTCAGGATTTAATTCTATGCAAAGTTAGACTATTTTCAGAAAAATCAGAAAATTAAAAGTTCTGATCCATGTAAACTCAAGATGTACATATGCAGCTACACAATCCTTTGCTATCTCCACTCTGGTGTCTAAAAGGCTTCTCAGTACTAAGTGTTCAAAAAGGAATATGAGATCCTACCTCACAGTCCCCAAACTTGCTTTTCCCCCAGCCTTGCCATCTTGGTCAATGGAGCCACCATCCACCTACTGCCATCCTAAGATTCCTAAGTCATCACCACGGCTCTGTCTCCACCACCACCACCTGGCCCGAGTCAGCCAGAGTGAACTTTCAAACGATAAACAAGATCTTAAACCTCTGTTTCCTATTCAACTGAAGATACAACATAAGGCCCTTAAGTCCCGTGCCAAGGGCAACAGGACCTGAGCCTTGCTTACCTCCCTCTCAGCACCTTCCTGTCCCCCTCGCGCTGTGTGTCCACCACAGAAGTCTGCTTTCTGTGCCTGGAACTCCACAGGCTCAAGTATGCTTCCCAGCCTATCCACCTACACCTCTCTGTGCAGTGCTGGCACCTTTGCATCCTGCAGGTCCCTCTCAAAGGCTGGAGCCTCACTGAGGTCGTTCTTGACAATGCAATAAAAGCAGTGTCACCTCCAGCACCATGTCATTTATTACAGTTTGATTAAGTGAAATTACCTCTTCAATCATTTGCTTACCTGTTTATGTGCTATTTCCCTAGTATTAGAATTTAATCTCACTAGAGAACAGGAATCTGGTCTTTCTCATTTTTAACTGTGTCCTCAGCACCTACAGTGGTGCCAAGCTCATCCCTGCTGACCCTGCAACAGCTGCTAAGAGAGACTGTGCTGTTCTGTCTTGTGGTTAGAATGTGGGCCATGTCCCTTTCCTTGTTGTGTAATCTATTCAGAGGTGTTCTATCTGGCTTCCAGAATGAAACTCAGTTTGTCTCCTCATGCTACTTGTGGCTCTAAAATGCCCAAACTATCCTGAGGGAACAGCAAATATATAGAAAGCTTGTGTTCGTGATCATGGAACACCACCAGTGTAGGTGGAAGCAGTAATCCTCTTCTTCCTGCCCTATTGCTTTTCCTTACTTTATCTCTCCTTTATCCAAGTAATTCCTTTTCCATTGATAGTTTTAAAAATTCAATAGAAATAAAAATAAAAAATAAACAGCAAATTTTAAGATGTTACTTTAGAAATACATGATAGCTTCATGGAAAATGTAGTATGTGTGTTGCACATATGTGTGTAAGAAACAGGTCATAAAGTCATAAAAGACAATCCACTCAACTATAGTAACTTGTTACTATTGATGAAAGTTTAGAAGAAATTACCCTAAGTAAAATCTACAACTGTAAGATTCAAAACTATTCATAGTTTCCCAAGGATTTTTTTCAACTTACTGCATCTTCAATGATATCATCATATTTGAAATCAACTTAAAGTGGGTGTGGTGGCTCATGCCTGTGAGCTTACAAACTCAGGTGAGCTCAAGAGTTTAAGGCTATAGGGAGCTATAATCATACTACTGCACTCCAGCCTGGGTGACAGAGTGAGACCCTATCTCAAAAAAAACAAAAAGAAAAAAAAAACCAACTTAAATAAAAATCATATTTCATACACTCAGGCAGCAATTTCCTGATCTAGTTACTCTCAGGTTGCTTCCCCTCACGTATAACTAGAGAGAATGTCAAAATCAACACATCACAAGGTTGATCATTTTACAAGATAAATCTGACGATCTTACCCACTTTGGAGAAGTAAAGCACATGAGTACTATAATCAGAAAAACATGAGTTCAAAAATCTCATTGTTACCACTTAATATGGGTTCCTGAAAGGCACGTAACCTCTTGGAGCCTCAACATCTTCGTCTGTGAGACAGGAAAATCATGCCTCAAGGTGTAAGAACCCAGCACAAACACACTCAGAGTTGAGTGAATCATCTCCCCACATGAAGACTCTCCAACTGCTCATCTTGATGGATCAAAGCCAAGAGAAGTGAAGTATTTTCACAGCGCCAAGGCTTCATGTTACAAATCTTAGTGTAAGGTGTTAGTCCAGACTGACAGCGGGCTTGTCAGAGGCAGCCACGAGAGAATTGACAGGATCAGGGCAGGTGGCAAAGTAACTGTGCCCAGGGCCACAGCACACGGAGGGTGGGAGGTAAAGGGCGTCAGGAGCACAGGGAGGCCCCTCCACACACGGTGACACACAGCAGGGGTGGGAGTGGCATGTGGCATCAGGTATATGGAGAGGTCCCCACACTCAGGGTGATGCACAGCAGGGCAGGGGTGAGGGGGACACGTGGCATCGACGGATGGGGAGGCAGCATCATTCGCATTGGCCAAAAGGTGGAAGCAAACCAAGTAACCACAGATGGATGAATAAAGAAAATGTGGTATTTACACACGGTGTAATATTATTCAGCCTTAAAAAGGAAGGAAAGACTACCACTCTCTACAACAAAGCTTAACCTTGAGGATATTATGCTATGTGAAATCAGTCAGGAATAAAAGGACAAATACTATAAGACTGCACTTACATAAGGTTCCTACAATTGTCAAAATCATAGACACAGAAAGCAGAATGGTAGATGCAAAGGGTGGGCTGAAGGAAAAAAACAGAGAGTTACTGTTTAAAGGATACACAGTTTCCATTTTGCAAGAAGAAAACAGTTCAAGAGATGGATAGTGGTGATAGCTGTGCAATAATGTCAGTGTACTTAATGTTTAACTGTACACTGAAAAATGCTTTTATCCAAACAAAAGGGAACCAGTGTATCATAGAAATGCCTGTACTCCTATGTTTACTGCCATGCTGTTCACAACAGCCAAGATATGCAGTCAACCTAGGTGTCCAACAGCAGAAGAACGGATAAGGAAAACATGGTATATATACATACACAATGAAATACTATTCAGCCATTAAAAAGAATGAAATCCTATCATTTTTGGCAATATAGATGGAACTGGAGGACATTATGTTAAGTGAAATAAGCCAGGAACAGAAAGTTATAAACTCTGCATGTTCTCACTCCTATGTGGAAGCTAAAAAAATTTGATCTCATAGAAGCAAAAAGTAGAACAGAGGATATGACAGGCTGGGAAGGGTAGGGGGAAGGGAGGGATAGGGAGACATTGGTTAAATGACAAAAAATTACAGCTCCATAGGAGGAATAAGTTCTAGGGTTAGATACCGCTGTAGGACGACTACATTTAACAATAATATATTATACAGTTTCAAATAGCTACAAGGAAGACACTGAATGTCCCCAACACAAAGAAATGATAAATGTTTCAGATGATGGACATGCCAATTACACTGATCTGATCACCATACATAATATACATTACACCATACACTACATACATTACACCATACATACGCCATACATTACATCAAAACATCACTATGTGCCCTATGTACAAACATTATTCGTCAATTAAAAAAATTAAATCTGGCTAGGTGCAGTGGCAATCCCAGCACTCTGGCAGGCTTAGTCAGGCAGACTGCTTGAGGCCAGAAGTGCAAGACCTGCCTGGACAATGTATCAAAACCCCATATTGACAAAAAACAAACAAACAAAAATTAGCCAGGCATGGTGGCGTGGTCCTGTAGTCACAGCTACTCAGGGGGCTGAGGTGGGAGAGCCACTTGAGTCGGGGAGGTCAAGGCTGCAGCGAGCCGTGATCACACTACAACACTGCAGCCTGGGCAACAGAGCAAGACCTTGTCTCAAAAAAGTAATAAAATAAAATAATCTTAAAAAAGGTTAAAATGTGGGTGTACATTAGTGTGCTAGGGCTGCCGTAACAAAATACCACAGACTGGGTGGCTTAAACAGCAAATACTTATTTTCTCACAGTTCTGAAGGCTGGAAGTCCAAAACCAAGGTGTCATTAGGGTTGGTGTCTCCTGAGGCCTCTCTTCTTCAGTTGAGGATGGTCACATTCTCACTGTGTATGCACATGGTCTTTTCTCTGTTCTCATTCCCTATGGTCTCTTCCTCTTTGTAAAAGGAAACCAATCCCATCAAAATAGGGTCCCTCCCTTATAAACTCATAGAACCTACTATATTTACCACTGTAAAGGCCCTATCTCCAAATACAGTCACAACGGGAATTAGGGCTTCAGTGCAGGATATTTGGAGAAACAACTGAGTCCATAACAATGTAATTCACCGCAATTTTTAAATTAAAAAATTTTGTAAATAAAAAAAAAAACAGGCTCTCTTAGGTGAAAGACCAGAATTAGCAGTTTTTCAAATGTGATCCAGAAACCTCACATCTTAAAGATGCTATAAAACCTAATATAAAAAAAGCAAACAAAAAGAAACCTAAAGCAATAATTATCATTCCAGAGTGTTTTTGTCTCTACTCTTGGTAGCAAGCCTCATTCTTTAAAATTATTTAATTCCTGGGGCAGATTTCCTTCAATCTGGGCTCAAAATTTAGCAAAGCCTGTACTCAAAACACTAAATCTCTGTTCCCCTTCACTCACCCAAATTAGACCTACAGAAATGCTGAACATTGCTTTGAAAGTCTCTGCCAGCTTTCTTTTCAAGAAAGTCAAATCGAGATCCAGGAGTTGCTCTCCAAGATCTTACAAATAGGTAAGGTTACGATGGATTCATTGAACTATGACAACAGCTAAGAAAAATTAAAATGGGCGGTTTTTGATCATACAAAGGGAATTCGTAGGTTCATAACAGTACTAACCATTTACTGAATGCCTATTACAAATGATTCTACATTACTAAACAGTGCATTCTGACTACAGGCTACTCAGAAAAGCATAAAGCAAAAAATTAAAATGATGGATAAACAGCCCATTGTCAAAAGACCATCTCTATTTCCTTTTAATATTTTATGTTGTGTGTGAGTCACATGACAGTTCTTTTTATTTTATGTAAATGTAAAGATTAGAATTAAGCTATTAAAATACGGGACATGAAGAATTTTCCCATGTAATTAAGTATACTTTGAAAATGTGATTTTTAAGTTGCTGCCCACTGGCCCCCTGTTTAACCAACATAACATGTGGGGCCCTTTCTATTGTGTCTGATTTGTCAGTTATAGACAAGGAGGCAGAGGGGGAGGTAGAGGAGGACGGTTAGCCCTAAGGCAGCAGGTACTATACTGAGAATTTACATTTACTATTTCATTTCATCATCATAATCCAATAAGGCAACAATGAAAATTAACCCCTTTTATGCATTAGGAAAATACAATCAGAGAGTTTACATAACTCACCACAGATAACCCACTAGTAAGTATCACATTGGTGTTTTAAAAGAGTGCAACGAGACACATGAAAACTGAAACATGGCTCCCACTCTAGGTTTCTGAAAAAGGTTTTCTAGCACACACCAGGAACAGCGTAGAATCAGCAGAACCTTCTAGCTATACAGTGGTGGAAAGAACAGGTTCCCATAAGCAGTGCTAAAAACAAATGAATGCTTCTGGTAGACATTCATCATTATTTTAATGGACTAAATAACTCCATCTAAAAACTTTATTCATTCAGTAACTTGGGAGTATTTTTTCAACTAATTGATTCTAGCAGCCTCGTCAGATATAAATCTGGGTAAAAGTAAGACCCTTGCCTCCCAGGAGAGTAACAGCTATGTGGAAACTTTTCCTGGCCACAGCATTGCTAACTTGGCTGAGAACATGAGAAAAAGCCCGGCAGTGAAAGGCAGCCTTTGCTCTTGTTGAGGCCCCACTGAAGCAGCCAGTAAGGAATAAGGAATATCCAGGTATCTCCGGGGGAAATGTGATACATGAAAATTAGGAATGCCTACAACTTTCTGTGCCCCTCACCAAAGCCAACCAGAAGTCAACAGATTAATGTATTAAGAATCTCACTCTGGTCGTCCCAGTTACCCCAAAATCAACAAAGCCAACCTGAACAGGCCGCGAAGGAAGCATAGCAGTAGAAAGGAGGGTACAGAATGGAGCAGAAAGGCAGTGCGGAAGCAGCGGAGGCCCAGGAGAAGGGAGCACCTGAGTAGCGAGGCAGACCGGCAGCACCAGAAATCAGCTATGTATAGGGTTAAAAAACAAACAACAAACAAATATTAACTATAATGTAAGGTAGAGTTCATCTCCTCATAGAAGGGAGGTATGAACAAACATGGGAAGGCTAAAAGCTAAAATTAACCCTGTGAGGTCGGATCAGAATTGGAATTGGTGGTATTAGTGTGACCTAATGGTTGTCAACACATTAAGACAGACTTAGAAATACACACAGATGTAAATGTGTGCAAACCTCGCAGCTTTGTCTACTAAGAGGTCCCAGAAACAGTGACATCCAAGCAGGCATAAGGATTTCTTAGCATCTGATGTTGGTTTCTAAATGCCATTATCTACTAAAAGGAAACAGACAGCTGGAGAAAGAGACAATTCCAGGGCTGAGACAAAGAAAGAACAAAATAGGCCTATGATTTCAGCAAAGAAAGAAGTGCTTCAAGAATAATGGAGACACATCAAAAGGACACATGAGGTGGCTTGATGAGGCTCCCATATGCCAAATCTGGGATGATAGAGCATCAGAAAAAAAAAATGAAAACAATGGAGTATAACTCAATGAATAAAAGAAAAAATGATGAGCGCAAACTGATACCAACAAATTAAGAAAAATAAATAAAGTGAAAAGAAATGTCAACAGAAAAATCAAAACATAAAGTCTATATTTGGCAACCATTATAGCACTAATTCAGGCTAGAAACATCAATGGACACTAAACCAAGTGGGTGAAAGTACAAAAAGAAATGGAAATTTTCATCACCTCCAAGTATTTTTCCACAAAATACATATGCTTTTCAATACCAAAATACATACTCCGGGTCTAACAATAAGAAAACATCAGATCAATCCAAACCGAGGGACATTTTCCAAACAACTAGCCTCTAGTATTCGAAATGTCCAGGTCAGAAAGTTAAGGAGAAACTAAAGAACTGCTCCAGGTTGAAGTAGACTAAGGAAGACGTGACAACTGGTCTTGGATCCTTTTGCTGTGAAGGGATTACTGGGACAGGGGAAACCTGAATGGGGTCTCTGGACAAAGAAAATACAGAAATTCCTTGTATGATGTTCACAACTTTTCTATAATTTGAAAACTGATTCAATACAAAGTCTAAAAACATTCATTCAGAATACAGGGAGTTTGAAAATGATCTTGTCTGCCCTGTTCCACAGCACAGAGACGGGGAATTGCTCTAGAAGATGACATCGCTGCTTACTGTACGTTAACCCTCATGCTGCCAGTGAAGATGACATCACTGCTTACTGATACATTAACCCTCATGCTATCAGTGTTCCCAAATTCCCGCTCTGCTTGGGGAGTTGGGACACTAAGTACTAATAAGGGTAAATCAGACATTCCAGTGGATGCAGGAATTCTCTGTTTGGCTTCGGAGGAAAATATTAAAATTACTGACAAACAAGTCTCCTGAATCCCTCTCCCTACCTGACCCTACGAACACCACAAATGTAGATATGACATGGGTATTTCCCAAAGGAGAGAATAAAGACAGTCCCTTAATTTGTAAAACTTGCTCTGTTTCTGAAGAAAATGGAGCTCAAACACTACCACACACACGGCTCTTGAGCCAACTGCCTAAGAGATCAACCTTGAGAAGAGTATTACATGTAACTTTGACAAGTTATGACTGAGATAAATGAAATAAAATGCAAAAAGAGAAAGTGTGCAGGAAACAGGCTAACGACATGGTGTTCTCTCCTCTCTCTCTCTCTCCTATCAGTTTTCTAAAATTCACCACATTGCCATATAACCAGAAGTACAACCACATGTCTAGACTTACCTGCATACAGACTTGAAGAAATACCTTCATTGAGGGCAACTTTATTCCTCTAATTTAAAACCAAAAATAGCCAACTGAAGAAAGTTTTTGAAAGTTCTACAAAAGTAAAGTAACCTAATAATAAAAACTCATGGAAATTCCTTTTGGTATTTATTGAATGACAAGAAAAAGCTGACTCTGTAAGTGTATAAAATACAACCGTAGATTAAAAAGTAAAAATTCTGTAGCCAAACAGTTTAGTGTATGTGGTTAGGTGAGCTCTTATAGACAGATGCTTTGTGCTAGCTTAGTGCAAGTCACAGTTCCCATCTCATTCCATACTGGGTTCCTGTGACAATACGCCACATACCCTAAACATTTTCTGACTGTTTTAAATTTCCTATATATCAGTATGTGGAAATGCAATAATATAACAAACAGACAGAAAATTAGATTGTTAGCTAATGCTAAGAAGGCATGATCACATAAGAATCAATACATCATAAGCCTCTCATTTAAAATATAGAAAGGCAAAACCTGACAAAACCAAGACCACACAACTAGGCACTGCAGACACACAGAGCCACAACCCGGGTTTTCAGTTTCCTATTGGCATACATTTTTGACCACCTAATGCTGACACCCACATTCTGTTCATATTAAAACTAAGTTTTATTGTTTAACAATCTAAATAAGTTTCAAAACCATATTTAAAAATACATTGATTTTGTATCCTGAGACTTTGGTGAAGTTGATTATCAGCTTAAGGAGATTTTGGGCTGAGATGCTGGGGTTTTCTAAATATACAATCATGTCATCTGCAAACAGAGAAAATTTGACTTCCTCTTTTCCTATTTGAATACACTTTATTTCTTTCCCTTGCCTGATTGCCATGGCCAGAACTTCCAATACTATGTTGAATAGGAGTGGTGAGAGAGGGCATCCTTGTCTGGTGCCGGTTTACAAAGGGAATGCTTCCAGTTTTTGCCCATTCAGCATGATAATGGCTGTTGGTTTGTCATAAATGTGTTCTATTGATACCTAGTTTATTGAGAGTTTTTAGCATGAAAGGGTGCTGCATTGTGTCACAGGCCTTTTCTGCATCTATTGAGATAATCATGTGGTTTTTGTCACTGGTTCTGTTTATGTGATGGATTACATTTATTGATTTGTGTATTTGGAACTAGCCTTGCATCCCAGGTATGAAGGCGACTTGATCGTAGCGGATAAGCTTTTTGATGTGCTGCTGGATTTGGTTTGCCAGTATTTTCTTGAGGATGTTCCCATCGATGTTCATCAGGGATACTGGCCTGAACTTTTTTTGTTGTTGTGTCTCTGACAGGTTTTGGTATCACAATGATGTTGACCTCACAAAATGAATTAGGGAGGATTCCCTCTTTTTATATTCTTTGGAATAGTTTCAGAAGGAAAGGTACCAGCTCTTCTTGGTACCTCTGGTAGAATTCGGCTGTGAATCCGTCTGTTCCTGGACTTTTTTTGGTTGGTAGGCTATTGACTACTGTCTCAATTTCAGAACTTGTTATTGGTCTATTCAGGGATTTGACTTCTTCCTGGTTTAGACTTTGGAGGGTGTATGTGTCCAGCAATTTATCCATTTCTGCTAGATTTTCTAGTTTATTTGTGTAGAGGTGTTTATAGTATTCTCTGATGGTAGTTTGTATTTCTGTGGGATTGGTGGTGATATCCCTTTATCATTTTTTATTGCATCTATCTGATTCTTCTCTCTTTTCTTCTTTATTAGTCAGGCTAGCGGTCTATCTATTTTGTTGATCTTTTCAAAAAACCAGCTCCTGAATTCATTGATTGTTTTGAAGGGATTTTCCTGTCTCTATCTCCTTCAATTTGGCTCTGATTTTAGTTATTTCTTGTCTTCCGCTAGCTTTTGAACTTGTTTGCTCTTGCTTCCTTAGTTATTTTAATTTTGATGTTAGTGTGTGGAATTTACATCTTTCCTGCTTTCTCTTGTGGGCATTTAGTACTATAAATTTCCCTCTACACACTTCTTTAAATGTGTCCCAGAGATTCTGGTACGTTGTGTCTTTGTTCTCATTGGTTTCAAAGAACATCTTTATTTCTGCCTTCATTTCGTTATTTATCCAGTAGTCACTCAGGAGAAGGTTGTTCAGTTTCCATGTAGTTGTGTGGTTTTAAGTGAGTTTCTCAATCCTGAGTTCTAATTCGATTCCACTGTGGTCTGAGAGACTGTTTGTTATGATTTCTGTTCTTTTGCATTTGCTGAGGAATGTTTTAATTCCAATTATGTGATCAATTTTAGAATAAGTGCAATGAGGTGCTGAGAAGAATGTATATTCTGTTGATTTGGGGTGGAGAGCTCTATAGATGTCTATTAGGTCTGCTTGGTCCAGAGCTGAGTTCAAATCCTGAATAACTTTGTTAATTTTCTGTCTTGTCAATCTGTCTAATATTGACAGTGGGGTGATAAAGCCTCCCACTATTATTGTGTGGGAGTCTAAGTCACTTTGTAGGTCTCTAAGAACTTGCTTTATGAATCTGGGTGTTCCCGTATTGGGTGCATACATATTTACGATAGTTAGCTCTTCTTGTTGCATTGATACCTTTACCATTATGTAATGCCCTTCTTTGTCTCTTTTGATCTTTGTTGGTTTGAAGTCTGTTTTATCAGAAATTAGAATTGCAACTCCTGCTTTTTTTTGCTTTCCATTTGCTTGGTAAATATTCCTCCATCCCTTTATTTTGAACTTCTGTGTGTTTTTGCATGTGAGATAGGTCTCCTGAATACAGCACACCAATGGGTCTTGACTCTGCATCCAACTTGCCAGTCTGTGTTTTTTAATTGGGGCATTTAGCCCTTTTACATTTAAGGTTAATATTGTTATGTGTGAATTTGATCCTGTCATAATGATGCTAGCTGGTTATTTTGCCTGTTAGTTGATGCAGTCTCTTCATAGTGTCGACAGTCTTTACAATTTCCTATGTTTTTGCAGTGGCTGGTACTGGTTGTTCCTTTCCATGTTTAGTGCTTCCTTCAGGACCTCTTGTAAGGCAGCCCTGGTGGTGACAAAAATCTCTCAGCATTTGCATGTCTGTAGAGGATTTTATTTCTCCTTCGCTTATGTAGCTTAGTTTGGCTGGATATGAAATTCCTATACACCAACAACAGACAAATGGAGAGCCAAATCATGAGCAAACTCCCATTCACAATCGCTACAAAGAGAATAAAATACCTAGGAATACAACTAACAAGGGATGTGAAGGACCTCTTCAAGGAGAACTACAAACCAATGCTCAAGGAAATAAGAGAGGACACAAACAAATGGAAAAATATTCTATGCTTATGGATAGGAAGAATCAATATTGTGAAAATGGTCTTATTGCCCAAAGTAATTTATAGATTCAATGCTATCCCCATAAAGCAACCATTGAGTTTCTTCACAGAAGTGGAAAAAAAACTACTTTAAACTTCATGTGAAAATGAAAAACTGCCCACATAGCCAAGACAATCCTAAGCAAAAATAACAAAGCTGAAGGCATCATGCTACCTGACTTCAAATTATACTACAAGGCTACACTAACCAAAATAGCATGGTACTGGTACCAAAACAGAGATATAGACCAATGGAACAGAACAGAGGCCTCAGAAATAACACCACACATCTACAACCATCTGATCTTTGACAAACCTGACAAAAACAAGCAATGGGGAAAAGGTTCCCTATTTAATAAATGGTGTTTGGAAAACTGGCTAGCCATATGCAGAAAACTAAAACTGGACCCCTTCCTTACACATTATACAAAAATTAACTCAAGATGAATTAAAGACTTAAGAGTAAGACCTAAAACCATAAAAATCCTAGAAGAAAACATAGGCAGTACCATTCAGGACATAGGCATGGGCAAAAACTTATGTCTAAAACACCAAAAGCAATGGCAACAAAAGCCAAAATTGACAAATGGGATCTAATTAAACTAAAGAGCTTCTGCACAGCAAAAGAAATTACCATCATTGTGAACACGCAACCTACAGAATGGGAGAAAAATTTTGCAATCTATCCATCTGACAGAGGGCTAATATCCAGAATCTACAAAGAACTTAAATTTACAAGAAAAAAACAACCCCATCAAAAAGTGGCCAAAGGATATGAACAGACACTTCTCAAAAGAAGACATTTATGCAGCCAACAAACATATGAAAAAAAAGCTCATCCTCACTGGTCATTAGAGAAATGCAAATCAAAACCACAATGAGGTACCATCTCACACCAGTTATCATGGGCAATCATTAAAAAGTCAGGAAACAACAGATGCTGGAGAGGATGTGAAGAAATAGGAATGCTTTTACACTGTTGGTGGGAGTGTAAATCTGCTCAACCATTGTGGAAGACAGTGTGGCATTTCCTCAAGGATCTAGTACTAGAAATACCATTTGACCCAGCAATCCCATTACTGGGTATATACCCAAAGGATTATAAATCATTCTACTATAAAGACACATGCACACATATGTTTATTGCGGCACTATTCACAATAGCAAAGACTTGGAACCAACCCAAATGTCCATCAATTATAGACTGGATAAAGAAAATGTGGCACATATACACCATGGAATACTATGCAGCCATAAAAAATGATGAGTTCATGTCCTGTGCAGGTACATGGATGAAGCTGGAAACCATCATTCTCAGCAAACTCACACAAGAACAGAAAACCAAACAGCACATGTTCTCACTCATAAGTGGGAGTTGAACAATGAGAACGCATGGACACAGGGAGGGGATCATCACACACGGGGGCCTGTTGTGGGGTGGGGGACTAGGGGAGGGATAGCATTAGGAGAAATACCTAATGTAGGTGACAGGTTAATGGGTGCAGCAAACCACCATGGCATGTGTATACCTATGTAACAAAACTGCAATGTTCTGCACATGTATCCCAGAATTTAAAATAT
The DNA here is from genome assembly GCF_000001405.40 of Homo sapiens. NCBI lineage: Eukaryota > Metazoa > Chordata > Mammalia > Primates > Hominidae > Homo > Homo sapiens. The sequence continues at coordinate 74,821,285 of NC_000018.10, read as the reverse complement.
AATAAAAATAATACTGCATAGCTTCTCAATGCCTTGAAAACTAAGTCTAAAACTTCTCAATTAAGACTTTGCAAAATACTAGGTTGGTGCAAAAGTAACTGCGGTTTTTGGCATTATTTTTAATGACAAACACAGCAATTACTTTTGCACCAACCTAATAACACTAGTACCTAAACTTTCTTTCCATTCTGCAGCTCCTCTGTAGACAAGGCATCGATCACAGAACTGAAGACTGATGATGTCCCTGCCCAATCTCTGAAGAAATCAGGGGTTGAGAAAGAACACACATGCATAAGCATTCTTAGCCTTCTGCCTACGACTGGTGCTGTCTGCTACCATGTGCCCCTCAGCCAGACGTTGTAGAGTATCACTCTCCCTCTTTTCCTGAGCCAGACTGCAATTCCAACCACCTGATTTACCATCCCTAGTTTCCTTTCCCACAACTTTCACGGCATAGGTGATGCCCCATTTTCGTGACATCTTCCATCATAGACTTCTGTTCCTAAGACTGAACTGTCATTGTAGGTCCCAATCTGAGGCAGTGAAAAGAACAAGGGCTCTGAGATCAGATGCACTTGTGTTTCAGGTCAAGCCCTGCAACCTAAAGCCATTGGAATTTATAGCTTTCAACTTTCCCAGAATGGCAAGGTTGAACGACTGGTTAAGAATGAAATAAAAGAGCATAGGTAAACTACTTCACAATGTCAGCTAACAGAAGTTGATCAAGCAGTAGTCCCCAGCACTGCAGTCTTTCACTTTGCACCAAAACAGAATTGTAACATTAGTGACAGTGAACTCGTTGTCCCTGAACCAGTTTGCAGGCCCTGAGAGCCATCCACAATAGGTGGTCTGACTCCCTCCAGGTGGAGATGACCTGACTGATGAATGTGAATCCCTGGAATGCAGACCCCACCATGCTCAGCCTCACTGAGGACAGCTCTCTGCAGTCTGTAGGGCTGCTCACCAACCCAAATGGCTACTAGACATCATGGATCCCTGGGCAGTTGCCTGTGGGGCCTGCTCCAAGCTCCTGGGACACCTGCTGCCTGCCCTCCCCAGGTTTTGTGCACACGCAAACCTCCCATCTATTCAGTGTTGCAAATCCTGAAATACAATCTTTCCAGTCCTGTCTTCCAACTGCTTCCCTTACACTGGAAAATCGATTCTATTCACACTTGCACAAAACTCTTCCCAAAGTTAAGCCACTGTCTTCATTATCCTGATCCCTCCTTTCTTCTTCTGTAATACTCTACACTGCCCTCCTTCAGTGCTGATTTTAAATACCAGCTCTCTCATTCACACAATCATCCTTCAATAATTACCTATGGAGCCCTGCTACAGGCCAGGCACTGCGCCGGCCACTAGAGGCAGCACAATGAACAAAGCCTTCACAGCACTACAATCTCACTGGGGAGGGCCATCCACTGTCAGTCAGCTAAGGTCCTGTAAGGGGTGAAGAATGTCAAGAAAATAATTCAGGAGAGTAAGAGGGCATCAGGTTGGGGACAGCAGGGAGATTCAGAGGCAAAACCTGCATGGTGCCTTTGGGGATCCCCAAGACCACCTACACGTTTCGGTGATCCACTCAGAAGGCTCACAGCTGGACTCTTGGCTAGGGATTATGACAGCCAAAGGACACAGGGAGGAACAAAAGAAAGAGCACAGGTCCCGTCCTAGGAATGCCATGCCCCGAGCTCCCTGGGCTCTGCCTCCTGTGAGCGGCAAACCCAGCATCCTCTCATCTCCACCAATAGTTCTGCCCAGGAAAGCCCATTAGAAATTCAGTGCCCAAGGAAGACATTGGGGTGATCATGTAGGCCTTGTATGCTTGTAAAATTAGCCTCAAAGTCACACTGTTAAACTTCCATATCCTTGGATTAGGAAGGCCTATCACCCTCACCGGATATTATACATTCTGTATTTAAAGACTACTCTCAGAAACCAAAACAAACTTCCTTTTAAGTAAAGGAAAATTTTGCTCATAAAAATTATGTAGGGAAGGGCAAAAAGCATCTTACAATAACTGTGATTCAGCCCCGATATAACAAGATACCAAACACATAGTGTGAATACTTTTACCCAAATACAAATATATCTACAGCTATTTTTTTTCCGGCCTTTTCCATAGTAAACTCCCTACAGTTTCAATAATGAACTTTTACAGAGGCTCAGAATTCTGAATACTTGACCAAGGCGGCTGGGGGACTTCAGATGAGGCTTCAGTGTTTTGTTGACATGTGGTCCCATCTCTCAGGGAGGTAAAAGACATGTCACAAACAAGCCATGTTTCCAGCTGTGACATGTCTCAGCGCAGAAGGGCAGGAGGGAGACAGAGAGAAAAATTGTTTTCTTTATGATTTATCAAGAGTCATGGTAAAATGCTTTAGTCTTTATTCATGTTTAGCTTTTTTTTTTTTTTTACTGTTCAATGGCCTTAAAACCAGTTAAATACAATGAAAAATATGTTTTAAAGTTGTATTATTGAAATGTATTGAATAATGACTTATCAGGATTGGAAACAGGCCACATATGAGTGAATGTAATCTATTCCTCAGTCCTCCAGAGAGGGCCACAAATATGTGTGATATTTCTCTGTGCTATATTTTGCATTTGATTTTTGATTTAGCCAAAGTGTGTTTTTAAAAAAGTGTAAGAATGCAGCTGCTGAATTAAAATACATCTGTGTGTAAAAGGAGCTTCGCTTATTTTAGTCAAAAGAAGGACAGTGAACAAATTTCACTGGATAAGCTAAAATAAAAATCTTCAAGTAGCCATTTTATGTGCATGTGCAAAAAATCAAACTCAGGTTAATAAACACATATTGCATGTGTAATATATGTAGGTACAATGTAAGAAACAAATACTACAATGTCTGAAGAATACAGAAATTACAAAGTCAAAAAAAATGTAGCACACAAACCTAATTATCCACATGTCCAGAATAGAAGAACAACTCATTTTAATAAATCAAATATGAGACAACTTGACCCATGGACAAGCAGTCACAGGTTCCGGGATGGCGCTATGCTCGAGAGAGAATGCCTGCGTTTGCTGCTGGCACTGCTTCTCCAGTTATGACTCCTGCTACTAACACACAAGGGAGACATGGGCACAGGCGGACTCACCAAACGTGCACAGCACAGTACACAAACCAGATGTATGCAATGATGCCAAAAGTCATCTCAAAATTCCAAGCTGACCTAGTGCAACACATTTACACTTGGATAAACTATCACCTTGAAGATTTACTTTGTATACTTCAAAAGATCTGGTCATGAAATTTTTAGCTAATACATAAAGTGCCGAATTGAAATCCAGAATACAATAGCTATGAAGGGCCGCTAGAGTGCAGATAACCAACCCATTCTACCTCACTCAGGTTGAGATTGCTTTAGAACCTATCATTGGCTTTAAAATGGTCCACAAAAAAACACCTCATGGTCACACTTAAAATAGTTTGCATCCCACACTACAGGCTTCTCTGGAGGATTTAATACTTTGGAAGTAGCATCATAAGCCCTGCACATAACTTCTCAGCCTTGTGGTTAAGATCAATTATACACGCCCAAGACAGTCTTCACTGGATCTTGAACATATACAAGCCTTAATAAATGCAAAAATAGATACTCATTTATTGAAAAACAAATATCTTAAATAGTGTCATAGTAATTTTGAGACTAATTTATAACTAAATGCTATGAGGTAAAGAAATGCACAATTTTCCTTAATATTTTTTATTTTATAAACTAAAATAGTATCATAAAAGTTACCTATTTTTACATATAAATTATCACACATATTTTTCTAAATTGACTGAAGATTGCAGAAGTGATTTTCAGGGAAAAATGCCAACCACAAAGCAAACAAGGGGATGTGTGGGAGCTGTTTATAAAATGAACAACATAAACTTTATCTCAGCAAGAGGAACTATGATAGAAAGACATTGTAATTATGTTTTGTATTCAGACATCATTCAGACACAATAAGAAAAACAACAGGACTATAGAAGAGGCACCAACACTCACTCCCTGCAATTCATGGTCAGAAAGAATCAGAAATCCAAACTGCAAAAGAGTAAATGACCAATGAGATGTTTTACCTGTAACATGTTTCTCCTATAAAACCAGCATGATATCCCTACTTGAGCTGTGAGCCTCACTACCAACTAAACTGGCATTGTATCAGCTAAGATGGAAACTCTTAGAGTCTGCATTCAAGATATTTGCTGAAATTTCTGAACATATTAAACTTTCAGATCAATAAAAAATCAACCCTAATTATAATTAACATAAAATAACAACAAGATTTTATTCAAAGATAAATTTTTTGTGCACAAACATATGAGGGAATCAATGAGATCCTTAGCAATTTTAACAGACAAAAGGAAAAGAAATGCAATGGAATAAAGGTCTATAGAAAATAATTCCTTATTTATTATCTAGTACATAAATTATACCACCAATTTAATAAGTTCATGTCTTTATTGACGCAAATATTGATCAAAACTCAAAATCATTAATATATTTGCAAGTTAAAAGTGAATACTTTCAGCAATTTATACAGATTAGGTACTTATTAGAATAATACTTTGTGTATTGAATTTTATGGATATCAATTTAAATGACAAATGTCATATCCAATTGTATCACTATTCTATTAAAACACACAAATAAAACGCCAAATTCTAGGTTTAAATAAATCAAAGCCACCAAACAAAATGCCAATAATATTGTGGCATAACAAAGTAAGAAATGGGTCAAGATTAAGAGCCATAAACATTCAGAAAGGTTTTTAAATGCATTTATAGAAACAGAATTTTTCCTAAGGGAAGTACCCAATTCTTATGACAAAATGGACTACAAATAAAGAGTAGACAGGGCAAGTGAAAATCTGACAGAGGACGCTAACTGACCCAAAAGGTCTTTCTGATTTTTATTTCCACAAATAAAAGCTCTTGTTAATTAATGAAATCTTAATTTTGGAAAGAAAATTCCACTCAGCTCTTTCAGAAAATGAACCAGAGGGGTTGAATCAGAAGGTGAAATATCTAATTTTTCACCTCAAAGTCAACATCAGCCAAAGTAACCAGAAATATAATATGATAATTACCCATCAGCAAGGAATTCTCTTTAGTTGGATAAACCAAAGAGAAGTGGCAGAACACAAACAAATTCATGATTGTCCCTTCATACGAGAGTATCCTGTACATTCAGTCATGAATTTGGACACTCATGAGCATAATAATATTCATATCCCAAGTCCAAACGAATCGTGCTGGAGAAGTAAACGCAGTCCATACTTAGATACATTTTACATAGAGATTGGAACAACACAGAAAACCTCAAAACGTTATTGGGAGGCATGGGACACTATTGCTTTGTTTTGTTTGTGGAGCAAGAAAGCAACATAATCAAAGGCGTATACTTTCGCAGTAATAACCTATCAATACAATTAAGTAGAAAGGACCTACAATAGTAGCCATATCGTGATGTCATAGGGAGGTGCTGAAATAAGGAGTCAGGATTCAGTTTATGTCACACAGCCTCTGTACAGAGACTGATTTACTTCGAATCTTGCTCCCAATAACTGCTAATTTTTGAACTCAGGCAAGTTACTGAAGCTTTTCTGTAAAGAACAATAATAATGGAAAATCAATGGTATTCAACAATTTTTTGATTAGTATTGTGAGAAAAGAAAGTTTGTTACATTTTTAAACCTCAAAATACAATATATCCCATATTGCTAGTGTATGACATAAACAGAGGGATAAGCCCCCAAAATAAAACAAAACTCATTTTCTCCTGGAGATTAGGGGAAGAAATATGATAAAGACAGGGACAAAAGCAAACAAGACAAAAGTGCACACCACTGCCCCTGAGTGACCAGGACCAGGGCCGACACTGTGCTACTTGGGTAGCAGAGATGCGTCAGTGACATTTTCATAAGACACTGTTGGGAAATTCTTAAAACAAAGGAAATGTAGATAATAATATCCAACTTTTCAAAGTAAGATCATAGTCCAGCCTGGGCAACATAGTGAGAACCCAACTCTAAAAATAAATAAATAAAATAAAATCACATATTCTAGCATAGAAACATTTGTAAATATAGAATTAATAACCCTAATTTTTATAATCCATTTTCTTTGTTTGGTAGGTTATAATCCTACCAAAAATTCTACTGATAAAATATGATCCATTTATTTTATTTTGTTTAATTTATATTGTTATACTTCTGGTCATAAACTTTTATTTCTTTATAATAACAATTTTATAATGTAATTTTACATTGTAAAATTTTATAATGTAAACAAAATTTTGAAATAAAAGTCTGATTAATAAAGATTATATAATATGATATTTTGAATTTTAAAAATGTACTGTATATTTCATAATGTATCTCTACTTTAGCATAACAAATTCATTAAGGGTAAATGAAAAAAGCCAAGAAAGTACTATAGAGACCACTCATATTATTTTAATGCCTAACAAATACACAAGAATAAAACCAAATTTTTCATCAAATTATATGAGAAAAAATTTTACGCAGTAAGATTATACATTTTTTTAAATCTGTAAAAAGACAATCATTTTGGAAAAATTACTTTTTAATCCTCTCCCTTCCTGATAAAAAAATATGTTTATCTTCTTCTGTTTCTCATATACTATCCACAATGCAGTCAGGGCACTGGAAATTGACAGAGGATAAAATCATACTGATTGTTCTTCAACAAACTGAATTTCTTCCTTCTTTACTGGGAAACTTATATTCAAATAAATCCTTTAAAAATAGCTCAAGTAAACATACATTAGGATCATTTAAGACTAATACCAATCATTTATTGAGAACATAAAGAGTAGTGGCTGGGAGCGGTGACTAATGCCTGTAACTACAGCACTGTGGGAGGCTGAGGCAGGAGGATCATTAGAGGCCAGGAATTCAGGACCAACATAGTGAGACTTTGTGTCTACAAAAAGTAAAATCATTAGCTGGGTGTGGTGGTGCACGCCTGTAGTCCCAGCTACTTGGGAGGCTGAGAAGGAGGAACTTTGAGCCCAGGAGGTGGAGGTTACAGGGAGCTATCACTGCACCACTATACTCTGGCTTGGGCAACAGAGGGAGACCCTGTATCTTAAAAACAAAAACAAACTCACAAACAAAACCAATAAGGAGTATTATTTGGTCTCTGAACTTTTCTCAATGCTACTAAAACATGATTTTAATGTTATAACTAGAAATGAAATATGCCCTTATGCCATGAAGGGTAGGAACCACACATCCAACACAGAAAGCAGATAATGGGACATCCACTTACATCACTTTCCTTCTACTATTCCACTTACTAAGAATTTTTTCCATACAATTTTAAAGACTAATTAGTAAATTACAACTTCTCAGTTCCCTACAAAATTAGGAATTTCCACTTCCTGATAGGATATATAGATCCTGCAAACCAAAGCTGCTACTGCAACAACCAAAAAAGGGGGCATTAATTACAACCACCACGTCCTTCAAGATACTGAGTAAGCTGTGGGAGCTACCAGAACAAGACGAATTAGAGGAGGAGGCGGACAAAGGGGCCCTTGGAGCTAAGCTATGAACAGATGCCACCTCCTCCCCCATGTTACTTGGTGATTCCAGGTCAGCCACACATCTGGCTTCCCTAAGATGAAGGGCTCCAGTGGGGTAAGAGAAAATGAGCAGAAATACCGGCCCTCACCCTGGGCTGATGGGACAGAGTAGAAACTGGAGGAACCCCAGTGGCAAAGCAGGTCTTCCCACGACACTGGCTTTGATGAGGTGGTGGGTGTGGGGTGAAGGGGGTGACGCAGAGCGAAGTGTTCTGTGGCCTCACGGCATCATGAAGACAAATTCCCGTTTGAGCGAATGGACCTGACAGTGCCTCACCTCCATGGATCTGAAGCTGCGCAGAGTGTGAGCCTGAAGCACTCAGCCCAAGACCTCCCCAGAACACAAGGAGCCCTCATGCAGTCTCTGAGGGCTGAGGAGAGAGAAGCTATGCCCACCTGTCCAAGCTCAATCAAAAACACAGGATGTCCACAGGGACAAACCACACAGGGACCAAGTCTTACTAAAACTGCAAGCCAGCGCAGCACAATCTGCTGTGGACAAGGCAACCACTCCTCCCTTTTCTGCCTAACAGAGAAAAGGGCCATCCTTCTTGTCATATCACACCATCGGGGCCTGTAGACAGGCAAGGTGTAACCAACAATTCAGGGTAAAAATAAGTAAAAACCTTGAAAGAACTATGATGACCACATCAAAGAGATGAAATGAGGGACAAGAAATTGATGAAAAAATGGAGCACCGCAACAAAAACTGTAGTCTACATGAAAAAATCTGGTGAGCATTTTAGAACCAAATAACAAAATATCTTTCATCAAGAATTCATTGGATGGCTTAAAAGAAGGCATATCAAAGGACAGGATTACTGAATTCTAAGACAAAGTCATTAAAAAAAATCATAAAAACTAAAGAGTAAGGAGAAGGAACAACGAGAACAGATCATAGCATGAGAGACACGTGGGATCCACACAGAGGTCGAAAATGTCCCAGAAGAACAGGGTGAGGCAGAGGTAGTACAGAGAGAGGCAATGGGGGAAGTTTCAAAACTGCAGAAAAACAACAACCCCTACATTCAAGAAGCTAATCAAACCTCATAGAACGAACACACACACACACGCTCACACAACTTTCTCTCTCTCACTCTCACTTCACATTATAATCAATGTGTTGAAAACCAAAGACAAAATCATAAAAGCAGAAGTGGTGGAAAAAAGAGATGTTACCTTCAAAGGAATTATAGGTTATCTAGAAAAAAATAAACAATAATATGGGAAAACCAAATTCTGGCTGTTTTCTCTGGGTGTAGAGGGGGATTACATTGAAGGTAGTATATGTGAAACAGAGTAAAGAAGTCATTGTAAGCAATTTGCTAAGTAGTTTGTGTGCTATGTATTATAAAATGTGTATCTCATTTACATTTCACAACCTTCTCAAATAAATATTATTTCCTTTCACACACAAAAATTCTAAGCTACTGCCAGACATCTCACAAATCCTAAGTGGAAAAGCGAAGACACAAATCCAGAGCTTTCTGAAACAGCTCTCAGAGAGTCTGCCATGCTACTTCATGCAAAGACAATGGCAAAAGGATAAAGGCTTCCTAAAACAAAGTTAACAGAGTAATAGGCAAAGATTAAGTTCAATGAAATTTATTTATTTTTTTTTATTTTTATACTTAAGTTTTAGGGTACATGTGCACAATGTGCAGGTTAGTTACATATGTATACATGTGCCATGCTGGTGTGCTGCACCCATTAACTCGTCATTTAGCATTAGGTATATCTCCTAATGCTATCCCTCCCCCCTCCCCCTTCCCCTTACCCCACAACAGCCCTCAGAGTGTGATGTTCCCCTTCCTGTGTCCATGTGTTCTCATTGTTCAGTTACCACCTATGAGTGAGAATATGCGGTGTTTGGTTTTTTGCTCTTGCAATAGTTTACTGAGAATGATGATTTCCAATTTCATCCATGTCCCTACAAAGGACATGAACTCATCATTTTTTATGGCTGCATAGTATTCCATGGTGTATATGTGCCACATTTTCTTAATCCAGTCTATCATTGTTGGACATTTGGGTTGGTTCCAAGTCTTTGCTATTGTGAATAGTGCCGCAATAAACATACGTGTGCATGTGTCTTTATAGAAGCATGATTTAGAGTCCTTTGGGTATATACCCAGTAATGGGATGGCTGGGTCAAATGGTATTTCTAGTACTAGATACCTGAGGAATAGCCACACTGACTTCCACAATGGTTGAACTAGTTTACAGTCCCATCAACAGTGTAAAAGTGTTCCTATTTCTCCACATCCTCTCCAGCACCTTTGTTTCCTGACTTTTTAATGATTGCCATTCTAACTGGTGTGAGATGGTATCTCATTGTGGTTTTGATTTGCATTTCTCTGATGGCCAGTGATGGTGAGCATTTTTTCATGTGTTTTTTGGCTGCATAAATGTCTTCTTTTGAGAAGTGTCTGCTTATGTCCTTCGCCCACTTTTTGATGGGGTTGTTTGTTTTTTTCTTGTAAATTTGTTAGAGTTCATTGTAGATTCTGGATATTAGCCCTTTGTCAGATGAGTAGGTTGCGAAAATTTTCTCCCATTTTGTAGGTTGCCTGTTCACTCTGATGGTAGTTTCTTTTGCTGTACAGAAGCTCTTTAGTTTAATTAGATCCCATTTGTCAATTTTGGCTTTTGTTTTTGGTGTTTTGTTTTGTTTTTGGCCATTGCTTTTGGTGTTTTAGACATGAAGTCCTTGCCCATGCCTATGTCCTGAATGGCAATGCCTAGGTTTTCTTCTAGGGTTTTTATGGTTTTAGGTCTAACGTTTAAGTCTTTAATCCATCTTGAATTAATTTTTATATAAGGTGTAAGGAAGGGATCCAGTTTCAGCTTTCTACATATGGCTAGCCAGTTTTCCCAGCACCATTTATTAAATAGGGAATCCTTTCCCCATTGCTTATTTTTCTCAGGTTTGTCAAAGATCAGATAGTTGTAGATATGCGGCGATATTTCTGAAATTTAAAAACTAACTATGAGGCAACAAACAAAAGGACTCTCAAAACTAGAGAACAGAGAATACCAGAAGTTTAAAAAGTTAAAATGAAAACCACTAGGAATAAATAAAAGTGTTATCATGCCTGATCTGACCAATTACTTGAGTGGAAACAGAGTATTTTATCAAATCACATTATTTATTCTTTTCTCTAACAGTTTAAGACCAAGAACAGGATATGACTGTATAAGGCCACTCAGCTTTAAAATGCACATGAATTTCACAGCAGAATCCTACATGATCATTCAGTACATCAAGTGGTGAGATTACTGATTTAAAAAAAAAAAAAGCAAAGGTGCATCACCTTTGACGCTTAAATCTAAAACTTTTGGCACTCAGATTTAAAATATCCACACAAACTGCCTTCCTTAACAACTTGCCTTCTCCAGTCCACCGCAGCATCCACTTCATCTTCTTGACCACTAAATGAGCTCCAAAAGGTTGGTCCTCATCTCTCTCTCCCTTTCCCACTAGTTTCAGTGCTTCTGATCCCAGTGGAGGGCTCTACCTTCACACCTGGCCTCTACCTTCACTTCTACAATTACACATACAACTTCCAGTTCAGCATCGCCACTTGAATGTCTGAAACTACTTCAAACCTATCTATTGATTAGCAAAGACTGCTCAAAATGAGTTCCTCTCACAGTCTTTTGCATCTCAGTTAAAGGCACCATCACATCCACATAATTCCTCTTTCATTTACATCTCACATACAATCCATCCTTCAGCAAGTGCCATCAGCTCTGCCTTCAACATTTATCACCAATCTGACCACTCCCATTACTGTGGTGCTAACTACAGTCATCTCTCACTTGAACTAATTCCTTTCACTCCTTCTCCATGCTACGACCTTCCAGCTTAGACCTCCATACACTCTAATGGTACATGGAGACTTTGTATGTATGTGCAAAGGGTACATAAGCAAGAACTGTTTAAAATTACCAATTCCTGATCTAGACTCCATTAATAATCTTTTGTATTATCGATAAGCCTAAGAAAGCTCTTGAAGTATAACCATACGCCAGTTCTTCTTAACCACCTATTTAACTCACAACTGCCTTTTCCTCACTTAACAGAAGAAAGGCATTCTTCTTGCCCATCATCTACCTTGCTCCAAAGTGGAAAAAACCACTGGGACACCAAAGAAACCATCATTATAAGAAAAACCTTCTTAAAATCAAGGAGCCATAAACTGAAACCTAGAGATTTCACTATGCACTTTCCTAGTTTGTACATATTTCTATAAAGAGAAAGCATGACATTAGGCATAGGGCACTTGGCCCAAATTCAGATGTTCTAAATTCAGGTATACTGCAAATGGGATGCTGAGAGTGACAATAACTTTTGCTTAACAATTTTTTGCCTTGTGAATCCCGAACAATTATCAACCAAAGATATCACTTCTAAATGAGAGCAGTGTAAAAGAAGAGGAGGAAAGAAATATTAAAGAGAGCAGAATTTCATTTCACTTTTGCATAAAATTGCATGGCGAAGATGCATGCCGGATCTAAGAGTGGGATTACCTGACGTTTTGCTGTTTTTTTTCGTAAAAGAATCCTGGGAAATAACTTGTTATAAATCATACCCTATCTGCAGTTTTACTATGCGAGGTAAGAAAAAGAGCACTCTTATTTACCCACGGTTCGGTCTGTGTTAGCTCCACATTGTTTATGATTTGGAGGAGGAGGAGGTGAAAAATTCTACATTTATTCCCCACAGACCAATATTACATCAGTAAAAGAAACATGTCTCTGATATAATTTAATATTTTTATTTTCTTCAAAGAGGAACATTACCATTAGCTTTTTTATTGGGTACTATCCTTTGACTAAATGCCCATGTCTATCAAAGTGATGACACTCAACAAGCACAAGCACTTCTCTATTTATTCATTCTTACCATGTACTCATTAGAATTAGATTAACTTTAAAAAAAATGTAATTGATCCTATCATAACAACATATACAATAGGTGAGCATATGTACTGTTTAAGCAATATAGCTAATAATCATTAGAACTCTATTTGTAAGCCCCACAATTATAGTATCTCAGTAACATTTACATTTACCATTATTTTCCATTAGACTTTCCCTTATTCTAGCAATAAATTTCATCCATAGACACAAAAATTGAAATTTAAAAATTTTAAAGTCTCAGTAAGTCATTCAATTCCAATACCATTATACATTTTATGCTTAATAATTATCAAACTCTTTATAGACTTTGTTGTTTCAATCGTTTTAATAGTAATTACAATAATCCTTTCTACACATTTTTAACACTTAGAGCTTTATGAGCAAAGATACTAAAATATAAAAAATGCTAAGTGCTGGCCGGGCGTGGTGGCTCACACCTATAATCCCAGCACTTTGGGAGGCCAAGGCCGGTGGATCACCTGAGGTCAGGAGTTCGAGACCAGCCTGATCAACATGGAGAAACCCCTGTCTCTACTAAAAATACAAAATTAGCCAAGCGTGGTGGCACATGTATGTAATCCCAGCTACTCGGGAGACTGAGGTAGGAGAATCATCTGAACCTCGGAGGCGGAAGTTGCGGTGTGCCGAGATCGCGCCATCGAACTCCAGCCTGAGCAACAAGAGTGAAACTCTGTCTCAAAAAAAAAAAAATGTGAGGTGCTGTGGCATACTCCTGTAATCCCAGCTCTTTGAGAAGCTGAGGTGGGGGATCGCTTGAGCCCAGGAGATCAAGACCAGCCTAGGCTAAACATAGTAAGACCTCATCTTTTATTTTTTAAAAATAAAACAATTAAAAAAACCTTACATCAATGTATGTGTCCGTGAGTATGTACTGATACCCAGAAATGATAAGATGATCATTAAAATATGTCCACATACAAATACAATAAAATCTGTGGGGGAAATAAGGGATGTGAGTTCAAGAAGAAAAACAAATTTTCTGACAGTTAAAGAACTTATTCATGTACTTTTAAATGAATGGACGGTGGGAATCAAATCATCATGGTGTTAACATTCTATTGGATACATTTTAAAGTGGTACAAATATTACTTTACTATGTCAATTTTTATTCTACACTTGAAATTATATCCTGTCCAACTTCTGTACTTAGGATGAAAATACTCAGTTGCCAACAACTGGGGCAGGGGATACAGAAGTTTGAAATACTATCATAGGGGAACTTGAGCACCATACTATAGCATAACTAGTGTGACTGTTCAAAGTCTTGCTTGCCCTGTGAAAACCTTCCCATGAATATCCATGCACAACGAAGACTACCTCCATGACTCTCGGGACCCTGCTCATGTCTCTTTACAAGCTGGCCTGTATGTGTGTTACAGCCACAGGACCCTCCTTCAGCACATGCAGCCCAACACTTTCAGTTCCTAATTCAGTTTCACTGTACTTTCTGTTCCCTCCACCTAGAATACTCTTTAATGCTGCCTTTCTCATCATTCACGTTCCTACTCAGCCTCAGAATACAGGGACTCTCTTTGCATTACTTCTTGCAAATAATGCAGGCTAATTTGCCCGAAAAGCCTTAAAAAGGCTTCAGAGGTGCCTACTGTAAACAATCTATCTACAATCACCTGTTGCTTCCCGTTATTATCTCCATGGCATCTACTGCTTTCTGAAATTATTTATGTGCTTCTTCACTTACTTTCCAGTTCTGCCATAACAATGTAAGCTCTATGGGTAAGAAGTGTTTATTTTGCTCACCACTCCATTCTTAGAACCTAAAACCATGCCATGCCTGAGAAAATTTTTGCTAAATTAATCATAGGTGTGAGGTAAAGGTGACTCATAGTCCTAGAATAGCTTCTACATGTCAAGCACTCTGCTGGGACACTTACTCAGTCTCACTCTATTTACTCCTTATGAGAATTTTCTAAAGGGAGTATTATTCCTTATATTTTTAGTTGAATAAACGGAGTTTCAGAGGTTAAGTAACTCGGACAAATTGCATCAGTTAATAAAATGGAGGTGACAGGATTTAAACTCAGGTACTGGATCTTAATCATCCTCTGCTAGAGCTTTATCCACTATGACATGTTGTCATTTTATTTCCCTTACAGTATTTTCATTTATCATCTTGTTTGATCCTCACAACAGTCCACATCTTATCATATCTGCTTTCCAGAAAATGAAACTAAGGCTCTGAGAGTCAAAAAGCTATGTCCATGGAAATAAAGCTACTTAGGGACCAACTGGAACTCAGGTCCTCCACCCCTGGCTCTCGCCTTCCTCCTACAACCCCCCATTGGCATAGGCTAAAGCAGAGATTGGTGAATTACAACCAGGTTGACAGGTGAATCAACTTCCCAACATATCACACTGTGCCACTGTCAAAAGCTTGAGAGTTTACAACTGCCACAGACTTTCTGAGATAAGATAAAGACAATCAACATTAGCCATACTAAGGAAAACCTAAGTAATCCTAAGTAAGGGGCGCGGCCTAGCCAAGGTGTGGGCCTGCAGTCACAGCAGGCCCTGCGCCATCCAGCCACTGCTCCAGATTTGGCAGGAAACCTAAGTGCACACGTGATGGCTTGGAGTTCTACAAAGTATAATCTTACTCGTTTAGTATTATTTTAAGATATTTTCCCAAGTTCTAGTGTATAAGGATAAATCATTTAAAAACTCAAGAAAATTTTTAACAAAAAGAGTTACATCACTAGGAAAAAAATGTATTGGAAATAGTAAAGTCTGTAGAATATACATCCATAAGCTCTTCCATTAAACAAAGAATGAAAGAGGACGAGTCGAGAAGTCAAGTAGGAGTATCTCAATTTTCTCACACAACGTAACATCTTCATTTGCTTGCACAATGCTCAAATCTGTCTTAAAACAATGAACAATGAATGACTTCAAAACATTATAATCAGTTCCAGTTAAAATTGCAGATATAATTTATACTGACTCTTGTCTCTACCTATACCAGGTGGAGACCCTTTAACAGATGGTGTTCATTCCCACCTAACAATGATCAAACAGCAACAGGAAAACTTTGGTTCAGTTTAACAGAAGTCAGGTCTCTACTCCAAAGTATCATAAATGTATTGATAACATTCTTATATTTTTACTCTTCCCATTATAAAAATAAAAAGTTGTGGGGAAAACAAAAGATAATTATGGAATCAAAAAATCAGATAATGCTAGATTTAACAGTATGCTTATGTTGCAGTCTGCTACTAGACAATTTGCATTGAAAATGTAAGTAGGTATTTATCTTTATCACTACAACTATAAATAGAAAAGTGTAAATCAGACTATTGTGACAGTTCAACTGGAGAATTTAGGAGCAGAAAGCAGAAAGATTTTCCGCAATATATGAGAAATTCAATTATTTACTTAGGCTTAAATCCAAAATGTAATCAAATCTTAAAAATGCAATCAAAGATTTTTAAATAGCAGAAGAGTAAGATGAAAGACGATTATTTTCATTATAGAAGTTCTGAAATGAAAGCCCAAGTAAAAAGAAAAAGGAAACACCTTCATCAAGGTGTGTGACTATGTTCTAAAATAGTCTTTCATCATACAAAAATGCACCTCCTATAACACAGCAGAACTTCAACATGGGGGGAAAAAAGAGGTCATTTTTTAAAGTAAACTGTTGTTATAAGGTAACTTTTAATTTGTGCACATAATGTCAATTGCTATGGTGAATGCACGTCGGGTCACTGAAACAACGGTAGCTGAATTCAGATGTGACCTGGCAGCCCAGGTGTTCAGGAAAAGTGCTGTTAACAGTGAGGATTGATGATCTAATCAAACTGTCACAGCCAGATCCTCGGCAGGGTGGTTGGAAGGAGGTGGAGGAGGATAATATTCAGAAAGCAAGCACATGCTTAGTGTTACTTTAAATTGATGCTGACATTTTCAATTGTGAAAAGAAATTTTTTCCTAAGTAATATAGGAAACAACTCGGCTAACCTTCCGGAGAATATCAGATAATCATGGTAGGTTGTGGTACAAAAGCTAACTTCTCAGAAATGTGAGCACATATGAAATACAAATAATCAGACGTTTTAGAGACTGGCTATAGTAATCAGCATTTTAATTACTTTCTGTTTTCTTAGATGTATAGTACCATTGTGATGAATATCCTCTCCACATACAAACAAAGCAATGTATTTAGCCTGGTATTTTTGCATCTGAGTGTGAAATTTTCCCAAAAGGGTACAAATAACCAAGATCCATGTGCTGATTAACGAAAGACTTCTCTGAAGTCATGTGTTAATTAGAATAATTAATATGTTCCTTACTGAATATGCCAGGCATTTGTCACATGGCATGCTTACAAAAACTTTGATTGGACAGTCAGCTTTAAATAAACCCTGAATCATTAAGGGTTTTTTTTTTTTTAACTCATTGATGATGACAATTTTATAAAACTGAGTACTCAATTTTTAAAATAACAGTTCCTTCCAGAAAATCACTAGACTAGCCTACATTTGTGTGATGATTTACATCACACAAATGAATTCAAGTATGCAAAGAAGTACACAGATAAAAGGAAAAAAAAAAAGACAATGAAATATGTCTAACTTCAACCAAAATAAGTCCTCAGCCAATCCTCCCACTGCAGGTCCCATCAGTTATGAAAAGTGCTCACAAAGACTTTGGGCTTCAGAGGCACTCGACGCGTTCCTGTTGTTCTGTATTCCTGGCAACGTCCCGATCTTTCGATATGCAACCTTTACTCTGAAGCCAAGGACAATCAAGTTTGTTAAATTGCTTCATGTTTTCAAGGCACGTTGTAAAGCATTCTCGTGAACATTTTTCGCTCCGTCATTCCTGACCTTTTTGAAACCATGCTCCAGAAAGTATTAATATTGATAAAAACCACATTATCTCTGTCATTCACAGCTGACACACAGACCCAAGGTAACACAACACAGCTTCCCTGGTTTGTAAAACATATAAATGTGACCAAACTAGAAATACTAAACTTTCTCTTTCATGCGCAATCAGAATAAGCTTGTATGTTTTCTGGTAAGACTGACCCATTCTTTAAAATCTGCCTTTTCGAATTCTTTAATAAAATTTAGTAAGATATCAGAGAAATAACATAATGCATTGCAGAAAATCAACTTAAAATTGCTAAAATATAGGAAGAAAATATTCCTCTCCTAAAAATAAACACTATGCATTCTCAACAATGCAAAATGAATTTTGTCACTTTCAGTACTTTATAGAGAAAAATCCCACAGACACATTCTAGATGCCCATTGATAACCAGGTCCTTCTTCTCAGAAAACAGGAAGTTTCCAGGGTCTCCCTATCGATGACAGGACCAGCACCAGCACTAGCACTGCAATGAACCAGAGGGCTGGACCAACGGGGTATCCCCATTAGGGACGAAGTGCCAGGAAGAACAAACCCACAACCACCACAGTGCTGATGTCAGCCCCAAATCCATCTCCCCAAGAGCACGGGAGCAAACAGGTCTTCCCCTCACTCCAGTTAGCTCAGGATTGAGTGAAGCACTGAAATACAAGGCTGTTACAGGGCTTTCTTTTGACTCTGACAGGTAACAAAACTGGCTAAGGGGGTGGTAACGCTGGACTTAGCTCTCATTAGCTACCACCCTGGAACAGTCAGAATGAGTCTCAATATAATTATTTAAAAAAAGAAAGGTAACATTATAACCACTCCAAATTTATAACTTTTGAATTCTATATGGCCTGAGATACCCTGAAATTCCTACACACTGGCAAAGTTAAAAAAAAAGAAAAAAACAACAACAAAAAAACACATTCCTACTATTGGTTGGTTGATTGCTGGCTTAATGTCAGAACAGACTACCATATTTATCATTAATCTTAACTTGACAATGTATTGCAAACTTAATTATTACAGTTTCCCTGGAACATCAAAAGCTCTATAAAACATGCATATGCATTAAAACTAAGCGACATAAAAATATGCAATTTAAATATATTTAGTGTTACTGTTTTCTTCCACTGGATATCCACTATTTGTCAAACACTTAGAATATTTCACAAAATTTTCCGTCAAACAATTGTTAACAAAAAGGAAGAGTAAGAGAAAAATTTTCGAACTGACCTGAAGCAAAGCAAATTAGAAATTTCTCTGAAATCTTACAATTATTCTGCTACATAAAATTTGGATTTTAATATAATATTTTCCCTCTCCTTCCAATACATACAACAAAACAACTACCACACATTGTCGGTTGTGAGCATTCAGTGGAAGACTATTCATCTGCAACAAAATAAAAATGCCTTTTCCACAACAGTTCAAAGTGTAGAATTTACACTAGGAAAATAATAACTTGAAAAAATGTATATGTAACATTGTTAACAGAGTAAAAATGTACTATGCCTATTAACTAGTAACATCATGATTCACATAAACAATAGGTTAAAAGGCCACTAAAATTATGTAAACTCACATTTACAAATTGACATGGAATAATGCCCATAACATATAGACTAAATGCAAGTTGAAAAACATTCTGTAAATATATTTGTACGTAGTATAACTATATGTACATTTATATATACATGAGAATTGAGAGATGTTCATTGAGGGACATTACAGAAAGCTAACAGTGACTTTCAGTGAAAAGATTTGAGATTCTATTTATTTTATCCTTCATATTCACGTATGTTGGTTCTATTTTGTTTAAGCAAAGGAAAATTTTTTTTTTTAAGAATTCTGACAAAAATGAAAAGGAAAAGAAAATGGTTATTTTTTAAGGAAGAGCACTTTCTTCTAGCAAGGTCATGTGCTAACAGAACATTTTGAAGGAACTATGTACTTGGACGATTTCTGGAATGTTTATTGTTCATACAGAGTAATTCACACTCTCCTTTTGTCATGTTCACAGTGAGTAGCATCAATTTAAGCGGTAACTGAAAGAGGTTATAGGTGTCCACTGACACTACAAAACGCTCTTCCATGTGAAGTTCATAAACTAGCCCTGGCTTCTATATACCATACAGCTATCACTGGCAGCAAATGCACACCAACCAAGAGACCTCGACATGCATCTGCGGGTGTGAAATTCTGATCAAAACAATAAACTGCATTTGAACTACAGGTGGGATAAGTAGATACCTATAGGTATAACCTAATTAACTGTCTTTCATTTTCAGGATATAATTGAATATACCTGTAAGAGAAAATAAAAAATTAAAACTTAAATATCCAACAAATGATTTGAGGGAACATTCTATTTCAATCAGTTTCACTGATACCATTACATTGCCATTTTCATGGCCCACGTTTGTGATACTCGAAGTATATATAAAATATAAACAGTAAGTCTAGATTTCCATGAAAACACACTGATAATGAAAGAAAAATATAAATGAAGCCTTATGAAATTAATCTCATATATACTGATTTATAAAATTAATCTCATATACCTTGACAAAGGAATGTGACAAACTGAATGTTTTACATTTTTCAGGTACACAATCATTAATCATACTCAAGAGAAAAACAATTTAAAAATTAGTTGATAATTGATGATCAAGACAAAAATTCATAAGCACTAATGATCATTATATTACTATTTCCAAGTATTCCAAAAAGAAATTATAGAATATCACTAAGAGTATGGACTGCTTATTTTCTAACGGGGAAAGAAAACCTAACAAAGTGCCTAAATGTCTAGGATTGCTTTAAATTTATGGAAGAGACTCTTTGAAACATTTTATAGAGTTTAAAAAAAAACGGTATAATGAATCTGTCTGTTAACAAGCTATGTTTGAGTTACAAATAATGGTCATAATTATTTCCATCCTGAAACAATAACCTGACAAATGACATAAAAGTTATCAGTGATAGGGCAAATCACTGACAAATGAAGTCAAGTTATCAGAGACATTCAATGTAAAAATCGTATTAATTTCAGAAACATTTCCTGAGACACTGGGCTTCCATTCTACCTAGGAAGCAAACTAATCAAAAACTTTCAGTATATAAAACAAACTGAGTTTATATATGCTTCCAATGAGAAATGACTAAGATTGGCTTTAGGCTTCTCCCATCACGAGAAAAACAATTATCTTCGTATAATTCTTTTTGAACTGTTCATTTTTCTAAAAATAATTTAAATAATTAGGAAGGCCATAGATGGCAAGGAGAATATGAATTTTAAGAGGCAAGAGGTTAAACGTTCATTTCCGTTAAGCAAATCTACAAGAAAGCAAGCAAAAAAGACTGAAGATCTCAACAACTGGAAAAAATGTGGAAGAGGGAACAATGTGACTAAACTTTTGTTTATTGGAAAAAATCTGAAAATAAAAATAATATGAGAATAAAAAAGACAACAGCTGAATTAAAACAATAAAAGAGTACAATCTAATCAGCAAACTCAAAAGCAGGGGAATGCACAAAATTAGCATAAGAATAACAAAACTACAATAGAAGCATTAAGACCAAGAATTACAAAAAGCAGACCAAATTCAGAACTCACTCATGAAATTTAAGTAAGTCTATCTTTTCATTAAATGTGATTTGTGCTCAGGTTATATCCTTAGGAATATTTTTATTCCATGACTTTAAAAATGGAAAGACTCACTGTGTGTGTATACAAAGAATTGTCTTTGGACTCTCCTCAAAGATGAAAAATATTCTATTGTTATTCAAGTTATTGAAAGCCAGGACTCATCAGTGAAATGAATGATCAAGATGGACCATGTATTTTTGGAAAAAATGTAAGGTAACCAAAAAGCAATGGCATTGGTAGACTTTGGCTAATAAAATGGTTAAAAAAAAAAAAAAAAAAGGATTTTTTTTTCAACAACGGCAATACTGCTGCAATAGAACCTAAGAATGACAAATACATCTAAAACATGTTTGAATATGTAAACTTTGATTGAATATTCATCCTATTGCTACTTGTAGGATACAGGTGCATACGCATTCTCCAAAGCAGGACAGTATGCATATGTGTGCAAATCATTACAGTTTGCAGAGAAACACTGAATGCTAATCCAAACAATATAAATGCACAAAAGCACTACCACTGTCTCTACCTATTGCAAATGAAAAGAGATACTGACTTGTTATATGATATTTTTGCTGTCAATGTCCAACTTACTCCTTTTAATGTTTTCAGGTTATGCAATTCTTGGGACAACAGGTAATATCTAACATAAATCAATGTTACATGATTTCAGTTACTTTCATTCAAGTTTAAATATTAAAACCTGAAGTGCTAGAAATCAGGAATGAAACAAAAATTTTAAAATTTATCTTGAATGAATGAAATCTGAATGAATGTCAAGGGCAGGAATTCTCTCAAGGGATCCTGTACTGCAAGATTAATTCACATTAATGGAAGGTTTTCCTATGCCCACAGTGCTGAGACTGTTTCTGTCCTATGGGAAACAGTTCATGGAAAATACTGAATTTACATATTTCACTGTTATGTTCAGTTATTTTCCTCAGAAACAGCATCAAACCTCCGTGCTAAATTTAAAATGAATTACAATTTTGCTGAAGGTTTAATTGCTAAGTAATTTCTTTGAACAGTTTAAACAATTTACAATATTAGTCAACCTAAAAATTTGTGGGCAATCATATGGGAAAACTCATAAAACCACAGCTAAATTCTAGTAATCAAAGTTTTATAGACTGAAATAGCCTTTAACTAACAAATTATCATTATGATTTGATGTTAACTACATCACCATAGTTTAATTCATTTAAAAATATAAGACAAAAGGTAGTAAACCATTAGATCAAGTAAGAGATTAAAAATTATTTTAATTTCAAAGCATCAACACTATTATAAATCTAAACATAAAATCCAAAGATTCTGTCAGTCTTCTGGGAGTTCAAAGAGAAAACAATTTCTTTTGCAAAAATAAAATTAAGTTTGAAAGCAAGAAAAAAATCCTTGATCATCTTTCCCTAGTTACAAAATGAGCCCATAGGCCTAAAATAATAAAGACTGTTTTTCCTCCAACAAAGATAATATCCTTACTACTCAACCTATCACTAAAGTTTGTCATAAATTAATAAATCCCTAAAACAAAACTGAAAGAAAAACTGAGTTCTGCATCAGTAAAAGACTCCACAGTTACACTGAAAAGGTTGATTTAAAGCAGCGTTTGTTAAGAGTTTTATAATTTTAAGATTCACCATCATATATATCCCTCTGTAATTCAACCTCTTGCCACACCACTGAAATGAAAATAATCCCTCATCATTGCATAAATACACTGTGAAAAGACTAACTGGTAAAAAAATAGAATTGGTTATGTTCTTCCTACTTAAATTATATTAAATATATTCTTCCTTGCCTTCCTTTTTTTCACTGTTTCTCAATTTTAATAAACCAACTCTGAATCATGCAGTCTGCTTTACAATGTTTTCCTCATAAAGAAAAAAAATTAAAAAAATCAACAATTTTGTGTCATTAGAAAAGGTAAAGCTTCAGAGACTCTGTGTGTGTGTGTGTGTGTGTGTGTGTGTTTGTGTAAAGGAAGAAAGAAAGAATACCTGTAAAACCTTTCATTTTTACTGTTCCATGCAATGTCTCTGGCCAGAAATTTATGTACTGGTTTGTATTTTATGATTCAGACATGAAAAATAAGAACACAGATTGCTGTAATGAAACTTAAAGGTTAAAAAAATTTAAATGCGTTTGCGCCTTTCCCCAGCATTAGTGAGTCATGCTTTCCCTTCCCCATGTACACTATTCCAGAACTCTCACCTTGATCCCTCCTGCTGGTCTTTACGGATGCGCTAAAATGGATTACTAGTGCATCATTATTTCACTTAATTGTTTTCCCATTAATATGATAGTTGTAACCTTAATTAATGAAATATGGCTAACTTTTCCCTTAAAATGTAAAAAAAAAAAAAAAATGCCTTGCAGCTAATTAACTCATAAGCACTTCACACACTAAAGGCACCAATAGCAGCCTGGGCTTTTCAGCTAGCCACTGGCTCATTTTGTGAAACCTGAACCTTTAATAATACGAAAGACCTTTTTAAAAATCCTTAAAATTGCTCAAAATTACTGTCAATTAATATAAGGTCACCCCTCTCAATCTGAAAAGAAAACTTTCCCTTTATGAACGTGTTGATATGACCCAGAGTGCATTCCTGTACTCCCACAATACAATTCTGCAGCAGGCTAGCCTGCACACAATTCTGTACCAGATGTGTCACATTATAAGATTTTCAGATTCAGTTTCATTCTCTCTGTCGACAGCCTGTCATCTGTTGGAGTTTATCATCTACCCACTGGTACCATTCATTGGTTGCCAAAGCGAGGCAGGTCACAGACAAATAGACTTAGATCTATGTTGCCACTAAATTGAAATTTGGCAACAATGTCAGCCAGAGCAAACAGCTGTTATTTTAACGACAAGCAAACCAATTCTGTCCTTTTAAATTATGTTAATATAAAACAGTGTCACTTCACATATCAGAGAGCTTTCAGTTCTGGAGCCCCTTGAAGGCCACGCAGACTGAATCTATTCAGCCTTCATTTCTTTTTGACAAACAGATCCAACGTTCTAAAAATAACAGGTGAGTAAGAGAGGTGGAATTCATGATAAAAAAGCCTCCTGACACTACATGCACTGTAATCTATCTCTTCCCTGCCTACAAGCAGGCATATGTTTGCAATTGCTTCTTCTCGTCCCCAGTTACCATTCCATTCCTTGAGGTCTAGATTTCAAACTGGTGCAGTTATCAATCACCTAGCAGGTCTTGTCAAACTTGCTGAACTGCTGGCAGCCGTACTTTCTTAACATTTGCTGAATTTGTTCCACTTAATAAGCCCTCCCAAATGACCTTACTCTAATTAACAGCAGCTATGTAAGAAATATGATGGTTAATTAATGATGAGATAAATTCCGTCTCAAGGACTGTCAGAAAATGATGACACCATGTTTTACAGTTTAAATAGAATTACGTTCAAACCCAGAGAACAAGCTTCGAGCGTGCATTTTTAATCTGTCACCTACTAGATAAACTGCTGAATTTAAAAACAATTTGGGAGTCAATCAATTTTTTTAACATTTCACAAGCATACACAGCTTGCTTTTCAAAAAAGATGCCAAAAGTGCATTGTATGCTAGAATTTTAGGCTCATTAGGAGAAAAGATGACAATGCTTCAGACTGGAACATTCCCCACCATTTTGCGTCCTTCGACATTACTATACTGAACATACTTACAACCTCGTGTGACACATCTCTGCTATATAGAAAAATGCAGCTTGGGATCTCAATCAAATAGATATTAAAACAAGTGCATTTGCCTGCTTTTTGCACTGATCATGACCTGGGGCTAATCCACAAGCCTATTTCATTGAGTAACAAAACCTAACGCTCTATCAGTCATGCACAAAGAGCTATTTATTTTGTTTAAAGCCATTAATATACTGAAGATATAAAACACAAAAATATATCTAGACTTCTTCAGCCTGGAAAAAAATGTATCAATATTTGGATGACAGTTCTATTATATTCAGTACTGCAGAAACACTTTCTCTAGAACGAATAAAATAACTTCAAGTCACCATGATAAAATTAAGATTTTTTTCTAGAATGAAAATAACACATTAAAAAATATACTAAATACCATCTGCACACAGACTAAGTCTGCCACCTGAGGGAGAAAAGAGCAGCCGATTTGCATGCTCTCAATGCTCATGTTCCAAAATTACTTTCCAGAGACTCGTTCATGTGCTGCAAGGGCACGTGTGCGTGTGTGCGCGTGTGCACAGCGGGAGGCTGGTATGAAATGCCACATGTGGAGGACTCTCACTATATAATGGCTCTATAACACTCCATTGCTTTTGCATGTGACTTTTATTACACTGGTACTGGATGATACCAGGGTCAAAGCATGTACCCGTCATTTACGAAATGTGGGGAATTTACAACAGAAACTTAAATCCAAGTCACTTTCAGCTTTCAAAGAAAGAGTTTAAAGGTCTCTGCTCAACTCTTCCTCTCATACACAATTCAGTACATGGCAAAACATTTGGTGAGAATGCCCAGAACTGAACTGGTGGTTTAGTTCATAATTTACATGCTTGTCTATTTTTCCCACATACAAGTGTGATGTCAAAAATTATCAACATACAAGGGAAACCATGGTAAAACTATCAATTAATGTAGAAGGAACATTACTTTTGTTTAAGTAAGAGTACCTCAATATTGTAACAACAAAATTCATAATTTCAAAATATTTCTAATATGATTTTTTCCAATGCTGTAATGTCAATAGATGAGTAATAGCTTGAATAAAGTTTCTCAAATATATTGATTCATATGTAGTAGAGTTAAAATGAACTTTACTTTTAAAATGTTATAGAATGACAAATAAATGTCCAGATGCTATGATTTGATATATGCCACAAATGGCTAAATTAATTTGGCTTCAGATAAACTATGCTATATATGCAAGTTTATTTTGCCAACGGCCCCAGAGTATAAAATCAGCTCCTACACATTTCTTCATAATAAATGGAAAATATTTCATCTTTGTTTTGGTGGAATATTTTTATACTATTTGTATAATATTCTCTAGAAAAGTCTTGTTTTATACTTTACATATAAACAAATGCTAACAGGAATGATCCCATAATCGAAAGAAAAAAAAGGAAAAGTCTGTAACTTCTGAAAATTTCATCATTAGAAAAGTTTGACAGTAATAAGCTGAAGACTAAAAACAAGCATTTTCTTGTTCATTTAAACAAATATATTCACTTATCTATTTTTTATACATTCTCTTTCATCAAAAAACATCCTAAAAGGGGAGGAAATTTAACTTTCATAAATACATTAAGTTGTACATAATTTGCCACCAATTACTAAAATTCAAAGTGCTGAGAAGTTATTAAGCATCGTATGCAACTCTACCAAAAGATCTCTCATGAGAAAGCATAGCTTTACCAAAGAACTATGAAATCATAGTTCATTTTTACCAAAAAAGGTGAAGTTATGAAGTTATATTATAAAATATGGAGATACAGACCATTTTTTAATTACCAAAAATTTGAAAACCTAGTTCATCTAGGGCAATTCTCTCTGAAACTTTTACATCTGCAAAATGTAAAGATTCTCTTAAAATCCAAAATTGCATGATTCTATATTATTCTGCAATAAGCAACGTAGCGTTAGGACAAATTAAATAAAGTAAGCCAATGATATTTGCAAGGAATATGAACAGAGACCTTTAAAAAGCCCAACAGAATATACCTTCCCTCATAAAAGCTGGTAAAGTAGTATTTCTGAAAAAAAAAAAAATTATGTGACCCTTTTAGAACTTCAGTGATTCTATAAATATAAGATCATTAATAAAACTATGAATTACGCCACTAAAGAGAAAAAGGAATTCCACAGCCTGTCTTGAGTACATCCTTACTGGCTAACATCAACCTAAGGCACCAAAACGAAGACAATGGCAGATGATGGAGTTGGCCGGAAAAATACACACGTGAAGACGCTGACATCATGTATGCGGCAGAGAGGCAAGGCAGGTCAGCCTGATTTCACAGGCTTCTGCCACTGTTCTCACCCGGAGAGAAAACAGCCCTGAAGCAGAGCTCAGTGACAAACCAAACACCAGAGGCTTCGGAGAGAAAGTTCTCTCGACTCAATGTCACACCTGGCAGTTGGCAACTTTCTATCAAAAAGTCTCCA
The DNA here is from genome assembly GCF_000001405.40 of Homo sapiens. Taxonomy (NCBI): domain Eukaryota; kingdom Metazoa; phylum Chordata; class Mammalia; order Primates; family Hominidae; genus Homo; species Homo sapiens. Next base: position 74,794,017 of record NC_000018.10, on the reverse strand, counting down.
TTTCCTAAGACAGTGCTAATCAACATTTCTTTCTCAGACGGCGGGAGCTTGATGAAGCCCTGGTTAACAGGTGAGGGGCAAGTCAGCTGCCTGAAAGCCTGGCGGTAGCTCTCCCTCCTGAGAGACACCCCATTTGAGAAGACTTGCTCTCATCTACAAAGAGTACGTGCTGACTCATGGCCTTCTCCTCTAAGAAGGTCTTTCCTCCCGGGAAAATGCTTCCCGACAACATGGTCAGTTGATGTTCCCTCTTCTGCCAACTGCAAGTTATAGAAAGAAAAACACTTCCTAAAATAAAATGTCCAAACCCAACTCTTCTCATCATATTAATGAGTTGAATAGCTGCTCAAGTTATTTCACCATTGTTATTTCAGATAAAATCTTACAATAAACACTAATAATTTTCTAACAAATTACATTTTTGCTGAAAGTCACACTTTACATTCATAACATCCAACAAGAGAACCATCTTTCAACATTCAACAAACTTTTCTCCTTTACTGAATGGGGTAGTTTTTGTACTAAAGGACTAAATAAAAATTTCAGAAATCACTTTTTCTTTGTTTACACATCAAGCATATGGTGTGGATCTTATGAATGTGGGAGAAATCATGATCACGCCTCAAGACACAAAACTACCTTATTTATTCATTTAGTAATAAACACTTGTGAATTTAACACCAAACCTGAAAACTAAAAATATTACACTCCAGACATTGATTTATGCCAAACTTGTATTTCTAGCTAACAATGATTATATCCAAAATATTTGTTATTATTTATCTACACCAACTCCAGCAGTTGGATTCTTTTGACAAAACTGTTTTGTTTTTAATCACTTCTTCAGATATTCTAGAAACATACAATGAGTAAAGAAAAATAAACAATACTGAGATCCACATTCTGGGTTCTCTCACTAGTTAAGAGCTCTGTCACAGTGGTCTCTGAACACGCCCAACTCAAAATACTTTACAGAAATTTAAGTTGCATGTCTTAGGAATCGACAATGTTATGGATGTTAAATCTACAAAAGTCAATAGCAAATAAGTAAGAGAGGAGAGCTGCATATATAAAAGATATTTTCTTTAATCTGATGAAGTGCCTCATAGATTCTGTAAGACGTGGAGAAACTGCTCCACAATTGACGTGTCTTTGTGACCCTCTTCCAGCTTCAACCAGAGCAGCCTGGCTTTTATTGATTTCACACAGTTATGTTCCACGTAAGTTTTAAAATTGTTTTTCGTTTCAGCTAAAGGAAAAAGAGTTAATGCTAAGAAAACCAACAATAAAGAAATTAGTTTGAAAATAAAGAAGAAGAATATTTTCATATTCTATCTTTTGAACACATTGAAACTTTGAAATATGTTCATATATTGTCATTATTATAAGTATTAATTTTAAAAATAAGCATTGGGGTCACGCCATTAATTAAAATTTCTCCTAATGTTCGATATTTTATTATCATAATAACAATATAATTTTTTAAAAGGCAAAGGCATAAATTTTAGAAGACTTGTTATCCAGAAATAAGTCTGCCACTATCTAGTTGCCAAAAATATATGGCATAACCATATTGCATAATCATAAATAAGAAAAGAGAAAAGGCATTCTAAACACTATAATGCACAGTGACAATGAAAGGAGAAATTATTGTTTTAATTAACTTCAAAGAAAATTTGGGTCTAATTTAAATAAAAACTTTCATCTACATGTTCTGCTGAATCTGCTGTTTCCCATAATCCTTTGCTCTGTGTGATTAGCATGAAAAAACGAAGCAAAGATTATTTAGACCTTCACAACTAAAAAGCTCTTGAATGTTTTTTTAAAAAATTAGTATCTTTAAAATGATAAAATTCCATACATAAACAGTATGATTGTTTTTGTATTTTAGAACTGTAAATCCACATCAGTTTCACCAAAATCTGCCAACCAAGGAGGGGAAATGTTGTCCACAGCGTCACAGGCGACATTCATTCAAAGTACAATGAACTTGAGGGTGACTCGGTAAGTGGCAGTGCCATATAAAGCTCCATAAAACTATGCGACGTGCAATACTACTGGGACTGTGTGTCATAAATTAGACCAGCTGAGTAAAAGTCCATCATGAAAAAGAAAACTCTCAATGAAGATTTTAGTATCCTAAATCTAGCAGTACTTACTGAGTGTGAATCCCCTTCTTCAAAGCGCAGACAGGAAAGAGAAGCTGAGACCAGCCCTCAAGAAATTAACCATCTAGTCTGGAGACAGGATAAACGCCTTTTTAAAAGGAAGGCAAAATAGAATGCTGCTAAATCAGCATTCTAAGTGGTAAGATGTGACTATTTGGAATGGAATCTAGGGAAGGCATCACAGAATAAGTGAGAAAAAATCTGACCCTTGAAAATAAAGTACACACTGACCCTGGCCTAGAAGACAGGGAGCCATGGCTTTCTGTATGGCAATGAGTGAAAACACTGACAGCATCGATAAATTCATGTCAGCTTCACCAAAAGCTGATACATTTCACCAAGGTGAGATTGCTTCTCATCTCACCTTGACCAGCCTTCTTCCACGATAGGCTTACTGCCCAATGCTATGTCTAAGAAATCATTATTCACAAAACAATAAAAAACTGGATTAAATTAAATCTCAATGGAAAGGGTTATTTCCCTGAAAAGCAGATCTTTATATTGACATCATATACTAGAAGCATTTCTATATAAAATTAGTTTGACTCATATGAAATTAACAATATTTGACTGTTTTTAGCTTAGTAAATGTCAAGTTCATATGATTCAACCTGAGGAGGTAGCAATATCTTAAAAGTATCAAAGAGTGCCTTAATGTTCTTGAAAGGACTAACGGAAATGACAGTCAGACATCTTGTACAACCTGAGGATGACCACAAGATCAAGATGTCTCAAACGGGATTATCAATCATCTGCTTGTTTTCTCCTATGAGTACTAAGTGTAAGAAAACACCACAGTGTTAGCAGAGGTTCTCTTTGTTCTAAGCTCACAATAGATCAATCATGCAAGTGGCCCTAAGACCAAGAATTGGGGGAAACCCTGTTGTAGAAATAACCTATGTAAACACTTCCTGTGTCCTATCATAGCTCCGTAGCATAATGAAATAAAAATATCTTCTTTCTCATAAAAATGATCAAATTGCTTTGATGCAACTTGACAAAAATTACTTCAGATAGATTCTCTTTCCTGAAAATTCCTCACAAAAAATTTTAATTCGGACTTTTATAAGCAACTACCAAGACATCATAAAGAACTGCTCACAAAAAGTCAGTACTGTATAATGAAACTGTATCCAAGTTGGTAATTAGGCATAATTGAAGACTACAGTGAACATATAGGCCTTTGTTCTCTTTAATTCTGGCAATGACTGGGAGTTAAAGATAAGAGCTTAAGGCATATTTTAGTCAGAGTCCAGCTGTATAAGCCCCAGTGTTCTAAAAGTAATTTAAGTGAAATAAAAGAAAGAATGGCCAAAAATATTCTAGATGCCAGCTGAAGAAAAACACCTAAATTCTTAAAAACTTAAAAACAGCAGATATTCTTATACCCCAAATCTGAGTCTACTATCAGACTAAATGGTAGTAGAAAAGGAAAATCCTTTAAAAATTAATTTGTCACAGCAGACAACAATGTATTATACACACAAGGGCAACTGGAAGCTTCATACTACAAAAGTTATAGTTCAATATCTCTACAGAATTCGGTTTTATCTTATTTCTATATAAGAGGCAAGAGAATGAAATAATTGTCATTTTAGTAAAGATTATAAGAGTACTAACCATATATCTCTGGTCTAATAACTCATTGAACTGGTACTGAATAACATAGTTATAATGCATGTAGTATTATTACAGTCTTTTGGTTTCTTTCTGGGGAGATGGAAGGAATAAGATAAAGGTAGTTCTAATCTAACCATATATTAACATGTATATTACCTTTTATTCTCTAATGTTCCATAGGAATGTGATGAAAAAGAAGACCAATTAGAGATACAGTAAACAAGAAAAGGACTCACAGAAGACAGTGGCCAGGGCATCAGACTGGGACTTGAAATAAAGACATGATTTAGACTGGCAACCAGGAGAGGTGGGACATTATATGAGTGTATTGGAGAATAGGTAGAACAAAAGTACAGAGGAAAAAAAAAAAAAAACCAGATACAAAGATAAGGGAAAGATTTTAACAAAATAAAACAGGATTAAAAAGGTTATTTGCAGGCTGGTCTGCAATATGAACTTGAACAGAAAGAAACTAAATTAGTGACTGGGGAAGAGAAGAGACCAGGTAGTAAACCAGGAAAAAGGAGGTGGAGTTCCAGGACGAATGCCACAGAAACACTGCGAATCCACCAGCCCAGGCTCTTTCCCTGGGCTCTGCACTGCACGCTGTCAGAGTTACAGTTCCAAGGAGTTCTCAACTTCGCTGGCTTTCTCTTACAGACAGAGGAAAAGACGACTGGCACAGCAGCCACAGCCTGTTCAGCTGGATTCCAACCCAGTTCCCAGGTTCATCCTGATATGCCCATATTCTCCTCTCCACTACATGCCCTTCCGCCAATGAAATACGCTCACTGGTGACCATTTCCTGAAACAACGCACACAACTCTGGGATCTTAGTTCTCTACCTTAGACCACTCTCCCCAACCGTGTGTGCAAGGCCACTGAGCTCAAGGCACACCGGAACAAAACACACCAAGCTCTCCCACACCTCTCAGGGAACCTGGAATGTGCTCTCTGCTGGAACTGCTCTAACCACCTATCAAACACAACAAGGCCCTTCGAGAGGGACTTTCCTAACCACTCATCCTAAAGTAGTACCTCTCCCAGACACTCCCTGGAATAGCATCCTCAATCTTATACCTACGAAAATTATCATTTATGTATGTCTTGCCTCTCTATCCTCACCTGTGACATCAACCCGAAGATTCAAGTCCATGAGAACAGAGGCTGTGTCATCTTCAAACACTATAGATCACCTAAGTCTTCGAACATAGTAGTCAATGTTTATTGAGAGAATAAATAGGTGAAGAAATAAGATGCCCTATTATCACCCATCCGCACAAAACCCCTTAAGCAGGAATAATAGATCTATTTGTCACATATTATAAATAACTATATAATAATCAGTATTTCCTAAAGAATAAAAAATATATAATATTCAAGTTTATTAATAAAATATTTATTTTATTGATATTTTATATTTATTTTATAAATAAAATAATACTCAGGATACACAGAAACTTCCTAGATTAAAATTGAGGAATGAATCTTAGAAGCAATAAGAAACAAAATCTATTTTCTGTGACATATACTACTAACACTTAAAAACTCACTACCTCTAGCATGATAATTTCTACTAAAGTAGTAAACTGTGGTGGTGTTTTTTTTTTTTTTTCAAGATAACCAAGATGTACTAAAAGAAACAGTATTTTTTATACAGCTAGAGAGCAAGGACTCCTGGTATAAAAGGAAAGGAATCCTTCCCTTTCCTTTCCTTGGGAGTACTTGTTAACTGGGTCTGTTCAGCAAACTTTAGAAGCAAGCGTGTTTTTAAATAAATAAGTCTGAGAAGTAAAAAGCACCACTGGACCACTACACAGAAGTGCACAGCAGTTTCCTACAACAGAGCAAGCACAATTAAAATATGCCTAATCACAGGGATGCACAATGCTCAATACAACGCCCCCAAAACCAAATGGCTAAAGATATATGCACTTCCAGAAAAATATTGGTTTTACTCAAAAACAATTTCTATTGCAAAACTGCCCTTGAATTACATGAGCTTTGATTTATGGGAGGTTTTTAAAATATATTGCGGACATAAAATGGGACTTCCCCATAAGGAAAAAATAAATAAAACTGGAAATAACAGTAGTAAATAAAATGCATGCCTTTAAGGCTATCCTGCTGACTAGAGATGGATCACAATTTTGGCCATGAGCTTCCCAACAGTAAACATAAAGAGGAAAACTCAATCATATACATGATTTGCTAGTATCAAAGGCTAACGAAGTGTTAGAGACAAGTACAACTTTCTCTGGAATAAAGACCAGAGAGAAATAATTCTTCTGAGTCTTAAAAGAAAGATGTATTTCCATGAACAGCATCCTAAATACTACCTTCACAATAAACATGTAACTTTTATGAGGTTACTTCTTAAAACAGTCTTAAATTTAAGTCATTGTCATAGCTGTGTGCTAAATGAGCGGAGTCAATTTACGAAAGGAAGAAAACGAAACAAGTCAATGAAGAAAAGCAGTTCTCTAGCAATGGAAATAACTGAAAGCTAAAACTGAAAGGACATTAAGAAATGAATAGAAGAAAGAAGGAATCGTGACATCAAAGTAAATTATCTGACAAATACATGGAATCCAGATATTTGATGTCGCATTTGATGATGTAACTGATGCAGGAGTACCGGTGACATTGCTTCCTAAGAGCTGAGGAACCCAACCAAGAGAGAAGCTTGAAGAGAAGGCTCTCCACCCCGCAGAGGAGCCATAAGTATCTGCCTGCAATCCTGAGATTCTGCAGCACAGATGCTGACTTTTGTTAACTTTCATCTGCAAAACTTATGAAGCAGAAGTTAGAAAATATTATTGTTAGTAATAACACATTGCTGACGAAGCAACCACAGATCATCTACATTACCCAAAGAATTACCCATAGAATTTAGAAATACTTCCAAATCCCAGCAAGATAACTTTGGTGGAACATGAGGGTGTATCTCCTATCTCCACATGTGCCTTAGTAAATTGTTGGTTTATTAGCAAATACAGTATAAGAGAAATTTTCTAAAATAAACACTTCGGCTTTAGATGAATTGATATGACTTCTAGCTGTCTTTCCATGCAGAACAAATTGATCTAGCAGGACTATCGCACTATTAAATCTTACTTTTACAGCTGGGCATGGTGGCTCACACCTGTAATCCCTGCACTTTGGGTGGCCGAGGCAGGTGGATCACCTGAGGTGAGGAGTTTGAGACCAGCCTGGCCAACATGATGAAACCCCGTCTCTACTAAAAACAAAAAAAGTGAGCCGGGTGTGGTGGCGGGTGCATGTAATCCCAATTATTCAGTAACCTGAGGCAGGAGAATTGCTTGAACCCGGGAGGCGGAGGTCACAGTGAGCCGAGATCACACCACTGCACTCCAGCCTGGGCAACAAGAGAGAAACTCCATCTCCAAAAAAAAAAAAAAAAAAAAAAAAAAAACATACTTTTTTACATTAAAACCAATTAAAACCAGGTCATATGATCATAGATACTATTTATATTTAACTGTTTACAGGTTAAAAGATGGAAAAAATGAAAAAACAGAAAGAGTTCGCAGCTCATGCAAAAGCAGTACGTCATCGAAATATAACCCCCTTCCCCACGCAACAAAATAAGCAACCCAGAATGGAAAGAACTGACATGTTTTCCTCCACTTTAGCCCAAAAGAATTATTTCTTGTGTAAATATGTTCTAAGGTGGAGAGAAGCCCATAAACACTTTATTTTTCCTAAATTGGCCATCATGGGGAAAAAAAAAAGAAAAAGAAAAAATATTGCTAACTATGGAAAAAAAATAAGAAATAAGGGAAAGACTAATAAGTAGTGGGTAAAGGGGAGAGCCTGAAGCCTGGACACAGAGGTGACTGAAAAGTTTCATAAAAAATATTCCAGAAGGAGCCCATGAAGAATATATCAGAGAGAAGAAACTATCACAACACATCCATTAGAATAAATCACCCATTTCAATGATAAAATGGATAACAGTATTTACCTTATAGAAACTCACTATGGAGGAATAGAGGAAAACTGTTTTCCCTTTAATAAAATGAAATATATGCAACAAGAACAACTTAGAAGTTATTTCTTTAAGGTGGAAAACAGTGACAACTGTGACGTCGGAGGTCAGTCATATATGATGAATAGAATATCTTCTAATAAGAAAAAATTTAATCTGTTCCCCAATAATTTCCTCAGGGTTTCTATAAACGCATGGCTTTTCTCATATAACATCATCTAAGCTTGTAAACAACCCTGTGAAGCATCAGTCACAACTGCACACATCATGTGTGCCATGTGAGTGACATCGTGTGTGCCATGTGACATGTGTGTCCCATGTGAGTGCCATGTGCGTGCCATGTGAGTGACGTGTGTGCCATGTGGGCCATGTGCATGCCATGTGAGTGACATGTGCATGCCATGTACATGCTGTGTGTGCCATGTGGGTGACATGTGTGTGCCATGTGAGTGACATCTGCATGCCAGGTGCATGCCAGGTGCATGCGCTTTTCCACAGATGCTGCTGTTTCAGATATTTTCATGTTTCATAAAAAAAAGGTGACGCTCCTGTGTAAACTTGAAAAATAGCAATGATGCTTTTATGCCACTTCAACTTATAAATATGCAAGTTTTTGAGAAAATAGAGAAAAAGGAGAGAAAAGAGTCTCCAAAAGACCCATACAATGCCATGTCCTATTATACTGGCTTCAAATAAATTAGAATAAGCATCAGGGCTCTGAGACATCTCTCCGCAATTACATTAGGTGGGGTAAAGATTTGACTCATCAATAAGATCAATGGTGCTGCTAAAAGAAAGACAGCTAACCCCATATCCCAAATGTCTCATAAAAGGGGAGAGGCCAGCACAAATTTCAGGGCTCAGTAATCTGGAGGACCCCAGAGGAAATCTTAGCCTGAGCAAAAATACTAAGAAGCCCTGAGCCAAATCCAGTAGCCTGAACACACCCAACAGCTATGCTAACAAAAATGCACTGAGGGTAAGAAACTTCACAGACTCCGACAAAAATGGCTGCACTGGAAGAAATACGTAAGGTTTTGATCTGAATATTCACCAGTAAAAACACAAGTACTTTTCCTGGGTTATGAAATTATTTAACGCTTATACTTTATGACACACGCATCTAATTTAAAATTCTTCTTTGGTAGTTTTCTGAGTTTATCAGCCTTCTTGAGATGCTGCCAGTGCAGATATGTCCTGACAGCATCTCTGACACCACAAAAGCAATGGATCAAATGCAAAGCTCTACACGAATCATTTCCCTGTCCTCCTATTTACACAGTCATTCAAAACCCAGCTGATTTCCAGCACTGAACGACGAATACCATCCACTTCCATTGTAATTGCACCTGGCTTTCACAGAAGATATACTTAGTATGGCTGTTCCAATTGTGATAATTGTAGATAAGCTCGTTTTCTAGATTACTATTAGTCAATTCAAAGAGTCATAAAGATGCTTTGGCTTACTTATACCACAAAGAGAATTACTCATTTAAAATAGCGAATACTTTCAAATGAACTTGCAAGTTAACTGGAGTTTATTATTTTAGAATGTGAACTGAATGTGGTTATATGTAATTGTTTGAATTTAAGTGTGTAGGATTTCAGAAATACTGTAGGATACTGCACTAAAATAATTTAATGCAGATGTAGGAACAAAAAAGTATAATCTTACACAAGCCATCACCTCAGGTGTTCACAGAGTCTCAAAGAAAATATTTGAAATAATTTAGTTTTCTGTTTCTAATGATAGCCATGCTGACAAAATTTATTGGATCATCAAACATTATAGTACAAGTATATGGATTTATTTTTAATAAATTATAATTTTTGCATATATCAGTCAAAGCACAAGGCCTAAATACTTGCAAACAAAATGCATTATTAATTTAATTGTCACAGCCTATTTAGCTAACTTCTATTACTATTTGCTATAATATGCAATGCATTAGAATGGAGAATCAAATTAAAAACATTTTTTAAAACTGATTATACTGTCCTGGAGAAATTAAAATACAGCAAGCTTGCAAAAGTATAACCAAGGCTTTAATGTTTTAAATAGGTAAGAAAAATATTTAACTTAATTTAGAGAACAGTTGTGCCCAGACTGATGGTCCAGCATACTGACGAAGGGTTTGCTTCCTAAAACCACTAGAAGGAAGGGAGGAAGGTGAAATGGAAACAAGGAGACTGGCATTTCTGCTTCTAGATTATACCATTGAAATCTTGGTTTGCTCTAGCTACAGGTGTCTACTGGAAAATTATACTGCTGCTGGGGTCCTGGCATTCCTGTGTAGTATTTCTCTGTAACAGGAGAGAGTGCCATATAAGCAGACGTCAAAAACAAGAAGTCCTCTCAAAGAATTTTTAAAAGGAAAAACAATTCAGTCAAAGACGTTTGGTTTAGAAGAATGTTGCTGCTTGAAGTACTTAAAAGGTACTGATCCAGAAGGTGGGTGTGCTTTCCCACTTGCGATTTTCTTGATGTTAGGACAAAAACAGTGTCAATATCTGAGAAGGGCTTACCATGTGTCAGAGGGGAGAAATTCAATCTTTCTCCTGCCTCAGTTTTAATCTCCCTTTATGTATTCAGGACAGAAATAAATATTAAAGAAAAGAAAAAGTATCCTAGAATGTAACGAAAAGGGTAAATGAAAAAAAAAAACAGTAAATTTTTGATTCTCAAATTCGTAATATATAGAGGATTTCTAGCATTTTAAGGTGTTTAATACATGAACATATATACATACATGCACATATATGGGGAGATCAACTTTTCCCTGTGAAACAATATGAACAATTCTTCAACTTTTAAAAAAATTTCTAAGTAAAAACCAAAATGATGTAGTTAAATTAAAAATATATACTATTTAAAAGTACAGTTGGGAAATATTTTCTTCTTACTACACAATCTCCACTGTTTTCATTCAAATTTATTTTGAAATCAGAGTCAGAAAAGTAACAGTTCCATCATTTATTATTTATGAGATATTGAATAAATTATTATTGTATTTTCTAGGCTCAGTCCTTAGATCTATAAAACTGGAATAATAATGTACTGCTAATAAGGTCAAAGAAGGACTGAGATAATGCATGTGAAAGCAATGAAAACATAGCAATTACAAATATGTTCTGTTTCTACATACTTAAACAACACTTATGAAACATAACTTTGACATGTCGCAAATTATTCTTTTAAAAATATAGTATAGTATGCTTTTAAATTTCAAGAATAATGCATCCCTGACACATTCAATGCATGTATTTTTGCTGCAATTATTAAATACAATGTTACAAAGAAAGATAAGGGAAATAGGCCGGGCACGGTCGCTCAAGCCTGTAATCCCAGCACTTTGGGATCACGAGATTAGGAGATTGAGACCATCCTGGCCAACACAGTGAAACCCCGTCTCTACTAAAAATACAAAAAAATTAGCCGGAGGTGGTGGCGGGTGCCTATAGTCCCAGATACTTGGGAGGCTGAGGCAGGAGAATGGTGTGAATCCGAGAGGTGGAGCTTGCAGTGAGCTAACATATGCCACTGCACTCCAGCCTGGGCGACAGAGGAAGACTCCATCTCAAATGAAGGGGAGAACGGGGAGAAAGGGGAGAACGGGGAGAACAGGAAGAAAGAAGAGAGAAGAGAAGAGAAGAGAAGAGGAGGGGAGGGGAGCGGAGGGGATGAAATCAAACATATGGGTGCAAAGGAGACATCCCAAGATCCCAAAATTTTGACTCAGTAGCAGTCTATGCCCATACTACAATACTAAAGAAAACAATATGCCTGACAGAAAAGTCAACTTAAATTCCCATTAACAGAGAAAATACTGCTAAGAGCATTTTAATTTTTAAAAAGACTATTAAACATTTACAAATATGACTGAAGACCTCAGGCTTCAGAGTAACAGAAAAAATTGCATCACTAGTGACTTTTGAAAACAGTATTAAAAAAACTAAAGTTTCTGAGAGTATCTGTAGAATTTTGGATCCTACCTTGGAGAATCTGAGGGAAGCTGAAAATCTATCCTGACTTTAAGGAAAGTACTAATGCTTATACCAGTTTTGAGTGAGCTGCACATTTTAAAGATTTAAAATATCAGAAGTAGCCATGTTCACCTGGTAGCTGACACTGCTATATTTCAGTTCACCTAATATAATTAAGTCTATGCGATGAAGCTAATTATGATACAGAAGCAAGAAAAAAGAAAACCTGGCAGTTGATGACATAATAATTGTAGTGTTATTTTTCATGACATGGCAACTGTAGTATTATTTGGGGGATGACACAAGATGTATTTCTTCTTAATATCAGCAATCTTTAAGTCTAGAGTAAGAATTCAAAACTGTTATTTTAAAACCTCAAAATAAGAATATATAATAAAACAAAGTTGAGTTTTACATATTTGTTTTATCACACTCGAATGCATTTTCAGAAGGTAATTCCCTCCAATTTAATTCTTCTAGTATTTCAAGGTTGTTTCACAAATTCAAAGTCCTCCAAATGCTTTCAACTACTTCTAGACTCAAGTTTTAATTAAAATATGTTAAATTTTTGTGAAACGATGGCATAAAATATGATATTTGACAAAAGAGTACCACAAATAGAAACATGATTAACTGATGTGAAAAAAAAGTCTAGAAGTCATGTCATTAAATAAAGCCTAAAATAAAAATCAAATTGTATTTTTAAATGAAAAAAAAAGAATGAAAATTACCTTTCTTTTGGGGTGCCAACTCCATGCTTGCCTAGTAGATGAGTATTTAAGTGCTTCTTCATTACAAAAGCAACCCTAAAAAATAAACAAAAGTAATTATAAAACTAAAACTTGACTCTCCACTAGAAATCTGTACAAAGAGAACTTAAGAATAATATATATATGCAAACATAACATAAAAAGCGTATTACAGTGGCACTCTTGCTACACCAAAGCTTGCATACAGATTAAATATACTGTAGGACTTCAAAAGAAGTCTACATCTAAATTGACTGGTTCAGTTTTGACTTGGATACACTAACAGTGAGCAAAAGAGCACAATGATTGTAGTTCTTCAATCCCTGTCTTCACTTCCAGTTGGTAAGAAAGATGAAGCAATACCTCAGTATAACATGCACAGCCCCTAGGTCATCGCACACTTCAATCATGAAATGAGTTTGAGAAAATGTCATTTTATTAAATATTTAAAGGACCGTAAAAGAGAAAAAGAATAGCTTTCATGGAGCTTCCTTAAAAACATGGTAATAACTTGAAGAGAGGTTTTTAAAAATAATACAAATGTTTACTGTATCTATAGCACAAAAAATTATATTGAAGTACCTAGATATCAATAACAAAAACAAACAAAAAGTATTACCTGACATACTATCTTATTTTATACACAAATCAGCTTACTTAATTCAATTTTGTTGACATAAATATGAAATGGACAGGAATCAGCAGTACATGAATGCCATTCTACCCCTGAACACAGTGCAGTATCAATTTATTTACGTCATGCGATTATTTAAAACTTAGATCAGAAACATTCAGAAGCATCAAAACTAAAATGGCTCTCTGGATAAGCAGAAAAAAAATTTACTGCTGTAACTTTCAGTGTAAAAGGGCTTGCAAACATTTTTGTTAATTATGTATTACAGCTGTCCTTCATAAAGTTAATTACTAATAGCTGAAAGGCAACAGCATCTATTTGCATATGTACATGAAAGACATGACATATGCAAAAATATGATTTTAATTAGCATTCTATGATATGAAAGGCTACAAATCAAATTGGCATGTTATAAGATTCTCAACATTAAACACTGAATTCATCTGGACATGTTTGCACAAATGAGCCACATAAGACTGTAAAGTACTGTATCCTTGCAGAAAAGACTTGTGACAAAAGCCAAAAGCAAAACAACTTCTAAAAACATGCTTCTTTTCTTTTCATGTCTAAATGTCTAATTTATTTTGTTTAATTTCATATAATATTACAGAATCTCAGGTTTAAGAACAAATGACCATGACTTCTTTATTCAAATAATGCACTTACATACACTGAAAATAACAATCATTCTACTTAAATATTAGGTAATAACAACTATGGACAATACACACTTTACAACTATAAACAACTGGTACCAACATCAATCACTAAAATGAAATTATCACATAAAAAAACTGTGATAATATTAAATGCTGAGCAAAAAAAAGTACAAAAATTCTGTATTTGTTTCTGCTTGGTTTTGACAAAATAACATTTTTCATTTCCTTAAAAAAGAACACAGTGATAATAAATGAATTTAAGTCATAACTTCCCTACTGTCCTCCATTGTCTATAATTAAAAAAACATAAAGCTAATAGCAAAGAGCAAAGGTTAAAAACCCAAAGCTGCAAAGCACAGCTTATTTACACGACCAAGTACAAATTAAGAGATGGGAACTTAGAATCCACAGTGCAGTTTTTAATAGAAAACAAAATTATTAATTAAAATACTTAGGTTTTAAGAATTGAAGCAAAAATATTACATGGCACAGGGAAACAAACTAGAGGAAATAGGGAGAAAAAGCTTTTGCCTAATACAATGTCCTAACGTGCTGAGTGTCTCTAGTGCTGAATATTTAGTGAAATAATAATTTTTATTATCATGGAGAAAAATGGAAAAAGTTTTAATACTATAACACAGCTCAATTGTGTTCAAATGCAAAATATTTATTCAACCAACACTGGACTTAAAAGAAGTACTAATTCTTTAAATTTGGCTTAAAGTACAAATAAGGTAAAAGCCTCAAAATCATCCTCGGTTAAAAAAATATATAAGCTGACCGGGCGCGGTGGCTCACGCCTGTAATCCCAGCACTCTGGGAGGCTGAGGCAGGTGGATCACAAGGTCGGGAGATTGAGACCATCCTGGCTAACACAGTGAAACCCCGTCTCTACTAAAAATACAAAAATTAGCCGGGTGTGGTGGCGGGCACCTGTAGTCCCAGCTGCTGGGGAGGTTGAGGCAGGAGAATGGCGTGAACCCGGGAGGCGGAGCTTGCAGTGAGCCGAGATTGCGCCACTGCACTCCAGCCTGGACGACAGAGCAAGCCTCCGTCTCAAAAAAAAAAAAAAAAAAAAAAAATATATATATATATATATATATGCCAAGCATGACTAGCATTAAATTACTGACCCATATGGACATAATATTGACAGCCATATGTGGTTACTGAAGGTAGGCTACTCCACACTAACACTGTAACATTACTGTTTTAACATTTTTAACATAACTTTTAAAAATATATATACATAATCTACATATCACCAGAAATAAAACAAAAATGATGGCAAATCTGAAAGCTAGCCAATTGGCATGCCTTGCTCCCAATAAATCCTCATTCTTTCATACCTTCAGTCCCTGTCTCATCACGTTTACTGATCACTTACTATGTGCTAGCTGTGAGGGGGTCCTGCACCTATGACGAAAACACAGACCGTTCAAGTCATGCCTTCCCGGAGCATTCTCGACAACCTGCTGCTTATCAACAGGATGCAGTGACACTAAGCTTGACTAGCCACTCCTCTGTGGACAGTGCTAGTCATTCACACATGCATTTAATTTACATATTTATTAAGGATCTACTATTATGCAAGGAACAGTTCTAGGCAGCTGTGATGCACAGGTGACTAAAACAAATAAAAGTCCCTGCCCTCAAAAAATGTACAACCTAGTGAGAGACACAGACAACAAGGAAAAAAAAACAGTAAAATATGTATCATATTAAGCAATGTCAAGTGGTAGGAGAATAAATTACAGAACAAGGATCTTACAGTGTCAGCAAGGGGTTGAAATTCCACATTTGGGTGGCTCAGGAATGAGACCTATGAGTAAAGAGGATGAAGGCACGGTGCCTGCCAAGGAATAAGGACCAGCAACCCCTGCTCAGGAGGAGAGAGCACAACCACAGACCTCTGAAGGCAGAGTCTCAATTCATTCTCACAGATGTGATGTGGGAGCATAAACCTGGGGGCTGGTAAGTGAGGAGGAGGACAGTCCCATCCAGGGAGGATAGAAAAAAGAGGGCGGGTGAGAATAGCAACACTGAAGGCCATGACAGCCTCAGCTTTTATTCTGAGTGGGAAGAAAAGCCATCTCAGGCATCTGAACAGAGGAGTGACTTGTCCAACTTACTTTTGCTTTTGTTTTTATTTTTTTTAAATAGCTCACTGTAATTTCAAAATCCGAGGTTCAAGGGATCCTCACACCTTAGCTTTCCCAGTAGCTGGGACTGAAGCCATGCGCCACTGGGCCTGGCTATTTAAATTTTTTTTGTAGAGACAGGGGTCTCACTATGTTGCCCAAGTTGGTCTCAAACTCCAGGGCTCAAGGAATCCTCCTGCCTAGAAGTCCCAAAGTCCTGGGATTACAGGTGTGAGCCACCACACCTAGCCTCAGCTTCCATTTCAATAGCACTCCTGTCTGCTCTGTTTTGAGTGAATGAGAGAGAGAGAGAGAGAGAGTGCGATCGATCAACAGTCTCTTGGAATAATCCAGGCAAAGATGATAGTGACCTGGACAAAGGCTAGCAGTGAAGACGTGGTCAGATTTGGGATATATATTTGTAATCAGAGCTAACCAAATTTCTATATGGATTGGATATAGAGTCTGAAAGAGAAATCAAAGAAATGATCCATTTTTGGCTTAAGAGAAATTGAGCTGTTTTGAAGGAGATCAGTCTGGGACATGTTCATGAGGAAGCCTACTGAACATCCAAGAGCCCGTGGAACAGGAGGCCAACTCTACTGCTTGAGGCCAAGATCCATGCTAGAACTGCTCTTGCTCAAGTCATCCATTTGCAAGCATCTAATCATCTGAAGGAACACCTTTAAATAAAAAATAATACTGTTTTTAAAATATTGATCGACTTACAAGTATCCGTAAATGCCTGACACAGTACAACTTAAAATTTGTTTTGGTGTAAAAACAGCAATGCAGTAGTAATGCCTACACTCCAGTTTAAAAAAAAAAATCTTATTTTAACAATATTTCAAAATAAATTCTTGTACACTACATACCATATAATAAAGACCTATTTCTTCAGTCCTTTAGGTTTTATCACTACAAAATTATTTCAATTTGAGAGTCATGGGAGATGATCTAACTCATCTATTAAAGCACATACAGCTCAGCTGACCCTTGAACAACACGAGTCTGAACTGCACAAGTCCACTTCTGCTACGATTTTCTCCCACCTCTGCCACCCTTGACACAGTAAGGCCAACCTCTCCCTCCTACTCCTCAGCCCACTTAATGCGACGATCAAAAGGATGAAGTCCTTTATGATGAGCCACTGCCACTTAAAGAATACTAAATATACACATTTTCTTCCCTATGATTATCTTAATAACGTTTTCTCTAACTTATTTTATTGTAAGAATACAGCATATAATACATATACAGAATGTGTTCATCTGCGGTTCATGTTATTGGTAAGGCTTCTGATCGACAATAGGCTGTTAGTAGTTACGTTTTTGAGGAGTCAAAACTTATACTTGGATTTTTTACTGCATGGGGGTTTGGCTGTGTTTCTCTTGTGCCAAACAGTTTCCTATGGATGACTGTTCTTCAGGATGACAACAGAAATGTTACCAAAAAGTAGGGGTAGGGGGAATTTTCAAATAAGTTTGGATAACACTAGGTTTAAAAAGTGAAGTTCTGTAGACTTCTCAGTCATGTGTGTGCTGATTAGCACGGTGAAATGGAAAGAAATAGGAGATCTGCATAGTATTTTCTAATCTTACCGGACCACTAAATATTTCTGTCATAGAAAACATCTACTAGAACTGTGGCTTCAGGAAACAATTTAGAAAATGCTTACAGGACTCAGTCAGGGCTTCTACAACAAAATACCTGAGACTGGATAAGTTATAAAGAACAGACATTTATTGCTTACAGTTCTGGAGGCTGGAAGGTCCAAGATCAACGTGCCAGGAGATTCAGTGTGTAATGAAGGCCCGTTCCCCTTAGGGCGTCTTCTATGTGTCCACACAAGGCAGAAGGGGCAAACAGGTTCCCTTAAGCCTTTCTTATAAGGACACTAATCCCATTCCTGAAGGCTCTGCCCTCCCAAAATCAGCTCCCAAATGCTCCAACTAATTAATACTATGGCACTGGGGATTAGGTATTGATATGGTTTGATTCTGCGTTCCTGCCCGAAGCTCAGGCTGAATTGCAATCCGCAATGTTAAAGGTGGGGCCTGGTGGGTGGTGATTGGTCACGGAGGCAGATTTCTAACGAGCAGTTTAGCGTCAGCCTCGGTACTGTAGAGAGCTCGCAAGATCTGGTGGTTTAAAAGTGTGTAAAACATCCGCCCTCTCTCTCTCTTGCTCCTGCTCCAGCCATGTGAGACATGTCACCCCACTTTAACTTTCTGCCATGACTGTAAGTTCCTGGAGGCCTCCCTGGAAGCCAAGCAGCTGCCAGGACGATGCTTCCTCTACAGGCTGCAGAACCATGAGCCAATTAAACCTCCTTTCTTTATAAATTACTCAGCGTCAGGTATTTCTTTATAGCCATGCGAGAACAGCCTAATACAGGTATCAACATGGGAATTTTGGAGGGACACAAGCATTCAGAGCATGGTGAAGTTGCTGTCGAGTATGAGGACTGGTTTCAAACTTCTGATTCACACAACTATAAGAAAATAGATTTGTGGGAACTGACAAATATGTGAGAAACTATCTGATAATGTCTACTCAGATTACCACATACTGCACTTGCAGTTGACATCATCAGAATTTGATTACAAAGTACTGATTCAGTCCAAGAAACAGTCACGAATAATTTAAATAAACATTGTATGGCTAGCTATGTAACACAGTTGAACTATGATCTAAACATTGTATCCAGCTTACAGTTGTGTCATCATACTCTCACAAATACTGTTCCGACCTGAGCAGCAAAAGATGGGTGTGAAGGGTGGAGTGGAATAGATAATACTGACATGGGACAAAATAGGTAAAGAAAAACTAATAATAATCCAAGTAGAAACCTTCCAGCAACAATCCTAGCAGACAGAAAGGATAAATAATTATTTTACAAAGTTTTGATAAACAACTTCATATCTAATTTTATGTTGAAGGTTTATCCTTTTATCTATCACACTTTTATTTTTTAATTGTGAACTGTTCTTTTTCTTAGCTTCTTTCTTGAAAAAAGTTAAGACTTGGAAAAGTTGAAAAGACAATACATGAAATACTTGTACCCTCTCCAAACCGGCTCACCACTAACGTTTTGGGATGCCTGCTTCCTTGCTCTCTCTCACTAAGAATGTATTAATACGTACTTTTTCTTTATTTTAGGTCATCTTAAAGTAAGTTACTGAGATGACACTTTTCCCCTAAAACTTCAGCACACAACTCCAAAGAAAGACATTTTTCTACCCATTGTGGATCAAGATCACACTCAAGAAAATACTGACTCAGTAATATCTACTACACAGTCTATAAGACACACTCACTGTGTTTCGTCACGTCTCCTTCATCTCCTTTCATCTACAACTACCCTCGTTTTCTTTATTTGTATAGTGACAAAAACTCTGAGTAACCTAACTTATAATAATGTCCCACATATGGTATGTCTGATTGTTTCCTCATGATTTGATTCAGTTTAAACATTTTTGGCAAGAACATCACCTACGAATGTTGGGTACTTCCAATTACATAGTATCAGGATAAAAGTAACGTCAGGTTCACATTCCATTATGCTAAACTTGACTATTTGTTTAAGGTAGTAATCTCGAAATTTCTTCAATATAAATACTTACTTGCCATTTGTAATTAAGTAATCTGTAGGTGATATTTTGATATTGTGTGAGTATCCTGTTCACTAACAACCTTCTCCCAATGGCATAGGCACCCATTAATGAATCTTGCCTAACTCGATTATTCTGAAGGCTACAAAATACCAATGTTCTATCATTCCTTCTATTTTAGTTAGCTAGCATTCTTTGATAGAGAGACTTAACCATTTTCCCCAATCTTTTTGTGACATACTCTCTCACCCTCACTTTCTTTCTAAAGCACTTTATCTGGACTCTTGGATTTTATACCATATTTTATAATCTATTACCGTAATTATGTCTTGTAATTCTCAAATTTTCCCAAAATTGGCCAGTGGAAACTCTTCAAAGTTGGCTACTATGTTTATTTGACATCACTTCTCTTACTGTTGGGTTCTTCCTTATTTTCTAGTACAACCAGCCTTCCAGGCCCAACAGTCACTGTCCATGCTCCAGACCTGCAATCAGTCCTGGTTTCTTATAGTAGGTAGTGGTGTTTATAAAGCAAGACCTGGGTGCTAACTCTGATCACTGCTACTGGAGTATCATGGAGTCTAAGCCCTTTCAATCCACAAAGCTAGGAAATAAATGAATATACAAACAAACACATACATTGTGGGCACAGAAGGAAATATACACAGAGGATTTCAACTGTAATGGCCACGTTTGGTAAATGAGTGCTCACTGCAACAATCAGTATATCTTTTCATTATTCTAAAATGTGTTATAATAAATTTTCTGGTGGTACAAAATACATTACTGTAAATGAATCACATTTTAGCTTTTGCAGGACAGCATTCTATTCAAACAATTATTCGCATAAAACTTTAGTGTAAAGGTGTTACTTACTACTTCTTTAAGCTCTCTAGTAACTTGGCTTCCACTGATAGTTCCAAACCACTTTTGATCACTTCCTCTTTCATACTATTGTCAATCTCTTCTTTAAGCTCTCTAATAACTTGGCTTCTACTGATAGTTCCAAACCACTTCTGATCACTTCTTCTTTGATACTATTGTCAATTTCTTCTTTAAGCTCTCTAGTAACTTGGCTTCTACTGATAGTTCCAAACCACTTCTGATCACTTCCTCTTTCATACTATTGTCAATTTCTTCTTTAAGCTCTCTAATAACTTGGCTTCTACTGATAGTTCCAAACCACTTCTGATCACTTCCTCTTTCATACTATTGTCGATTCTCGTTCCTCATCTTATCCTCTAAGGGTGATATATTTGTTCATATACATTCATATTTCAAAGGTATAATTTATTTCCTGGGCTTCAAGCATAACCTCCTTGTGGATGACACTAAAATATTTATTTCCACCCATGGCCTTTCCAGGATATTTTTTCTTGTCTGCATTGACAATATTGTAAAGCACGTCCAACATTCAGTCATGATTGTTCCACGCTAATGATCTCCTGCAGAATTTCTGAATTCTATCAATTGTACCACCTTCCCGATTTAGTAATCTTATACTCATGTTCATACATCATCAATTGTTTCTTCATAATTTTTTGCTACCAAGACTTTTCTTTTTCCATTTTAAATGAACTAGTTCAAACCATTATGTCTGAGTACCACAGCTACAAGGCACTCTCCCATACAATTCACTCCACATACCCCCGTGACACACCTTCCTATAAATATGTTCAGGTCATGCCTCAGCTCAAAAACCTGTTATAATTCCCTTCTGAACTGGATAAGCACCAAATCTTAAGCAAACAAATAATAGTCTTCAACAGTCATTCAAAATCAGGTATTCTAACTGCTGAAATATGCACTCCAAAAATAATATGAAATAAAAGATAAAAAGCTACAATCCAACTGAAAAGTGAAAGCAACCTAAAAGTTCAATAGCATTGGCACAATCATGGTATAATATTATGCATCAACTGAAAATATAGAAAGCTGCTCATGATAGCTTAGATTTTAAAAGGACAAAAAATACTACATACAACAAATCCTATGTGTGTTTATTCTTGTATTCTGACATATACATGAACAAATATATACATGAAAAGAAGCCAACATCAACCAAATTCACTCTGACATGGGATTTAGATTTAGATGATTTATAGGGTTGTTTTTCTATAAGTAAAATCTGTAATTTAAAAAAGCAACAAATAATATATTGCTTATAGTTACAGATGTATAGTTTATACAACAGTTTTATATGTCTCCTCAATGGCTACCCAAGAGTGTATGAGCATGCAGTTTGGGCATAATCAGATCACCCTGAAAGAGGACGAAAGTGGGGCTCAGACAAGATAAGTGACTTTGACTTTTTCAAGAAAATGGGGCAAAGAAGCTGAAAATGCAAAAGTAGAATTCATGCCTGGTGACCTTTATACAGAAGTCTCTCCACCACTCCATACTTCTTGCCTAATGAAAGATTATAGCCTCATAGAAAGTAAGAAAAATGAAACTACTACTGAAATAAAACTGTTCAAAAATAAAACCACTACATTACTTTCCTAAATGAATGTGAATTATCCAAGCTAATGAATGACAAATCTAGTAATTGATATAAGCATAGAGATTTTTTTTTAAGATTTGCTGGGATTAAGTATACACAATATTTTTAAAAGAAAATACTTATATGATGAAGAGAAAAACTAAAAATTAATGACCTATGAAACAAGTCAGACAAAAATAAATACCACACAATCAGTTATCAAGAATAATTATGCTTAAAAATAAAGATGATCATTTCTTAAAGAACAGCCAATTGAGATAGATTGCACCAGTTTTATCATAAACAAAATCAAAATAAATATATTTTATTTTTAAAGTGTCAGAAACCTGGGGCATACTATAATTTGTTGTTAACATGTAAAATATGTTAGATAATATAAAACTGAAATTATTAAAGACTTCATTTTTATAACATATAAGATGAAATACATTATCTAACATCCTAAATATGTTTGTAAGCAGGTTCATATTATATTGTTTAATCAAGACTTCAGGAAAGAATTTTTCTCACCTACTTCTCTTACCTATTAATGAGCATGTTAAATAAACAATACGGAAAAACCTGCAGTTCAAAGGTATTCAAATCTGTCAGAAATTTACCTTACAAACAAAGGGGGAAAACTATGATTATATGAAATTTGTTTACTCCAAAATTCATAAGTTAACAGGTGTTACATAACATTTAATAATTATATTTCTTAAACTCTTACCAAATCATTGATAGGCCAAAATAATTATCTTTATTTCTCAAATATATTCTGACACAATTCCCTTGAATGTTATACCGCTTTTGGTTTTAATTACCATACAGAATCCACCATTTTCACATGTGAAATGTACCCTTGTAATTTTATATCAAGCAACTTGTTTCAAATACAAATTACCAACATTCTAAAATTTAAAATATCTGAAAATTCTTTATAATTATTATTTTCCTGGATGACTCTGCTGGTCCTTGAAAATAAATGCTATTATATTTAATGAAAATCTCTATGAAGAGACAAAAGTTAGAATTTTTTGCTTATTCATAAGAAATAAACTTTTCTTAAATTTCACACCTCTCCTGAGAATAGGCATTCTGCATACAGAAAAACTGCAGTAACCTTTTAGATATTATAAAATGCTAGCTACAACACACATAAATGTTCAAGAATCTGAGAGCTTATTTGATAAACATATACACACCCCACACACACATGCATACAAACACACACCTACCCACAATTTCCCGGAGCAAATGAAGCTATTCAGCAAGGTTGTACTGCTTTATTTCAAGGGTCAATTCCATTGCCACTTAATGAGGGTCCATATGAAGATTTAACTATTCTAAGAACTGTAAATAATATTATACTTCAAGACATTAAGAGTACATTGTAGACTTCCAAATATTAACCAGGTTCTTAATAATAAAAGCATTAAGGTTATTTTATTCTTGTTTTTTTTCGTTGGAAAAGAGGGAGACTGCCAAGCTCTGGGTTGTTCTGTAGCTTTTGTTTGTTTTTTGAGGTTTTCTTGAGAGAAAGGTTGGTTATTTTTTTGAGACAGGGACTCCCTCTGTTACCCAGGCTGACTACAGTGGCACAATCATGGCTCAATGCAGCCTTCACCTTCCAGACTCAAGCGATTCTCCCACTTCAGCCTCCCAAGTAACTAATACTACAGGTGAGCATACCACACCCAGCTAATTTTTATTTTTTGTAGAGGCAGGGTCTTGCTATGTTGTCCAAGCTGGTCTCAAACTACTAGACTCAACTGATCCTCCCAATTCAGACTCCCAAACTGCTGGGATTACAGGCATAAGCCACCATTCCCAGCTTCCAAGTTTTGTTGTATGCTTCATGTGAACCAACTTACCTAACCCTCACCACATCTCATTTTCCAGATGAAAAACCTGAGGTGCATATCCATTAAGCCCCCAAAGACTGCAAGCTCCTAAGTGGCAGAGTCAGAATGTGCCCCAGGCTGTCTCCTCAAAGCCCACAGACCACACTCACCCCTCAACTGTCCTGTGTCTCTCTCCCTCTTATAAACTTCAGTCAGGTATAGGCCTAGTTTCAGGTGTCTGCTGCATTATTTTTCAATTACAAAGTTATTTTCCAACAACTAAGTAAATCAGTGATGAAAGTGTATATTATTTTTGAGTTTGAGACACAGATAGTAGAAGTTCAGTGAAAAATGCTCCAGTCTAGAGTTGAAAACCCGCATCTAGTCTAGGCGCTTGCATCCCACATGCAAAAACCTGCATCTAGTCTAGGCCAACATGGCCTTGGTTAAGTTAAACATGACATGTGAGACGAAATGAGATCATTAATGTCTGAATTGTTTTAAAAAATACAATGAATTTTGTAAACAACTGTATTAGTGATAAACTATAAAATGGGAATTGCCATGACCAATTGAAATCTCCAGCAGGGGAATCAAAAACAAACTCTATGAGACATGTTTATGAATGGTTATCATGTACAAAGACAGTATGAGCCAAAGAGGTACTTATCATAAGAGATACTCATTGGAAACTTTCAAAAACAGCTCTGTAAAGAACCCTTTGCCTAGAGCTACCTCAACTCTTCTGAAGGAGGTAAAACATTGGTGGGGCCTTCTGTTAATGTAAGATAGTAACCTGAGAATGCAAAGTGCTAACACAGTCAACAGGAATTAAAATACACACACAGATGTGCTTGGTATATTAAATCATTTGACAGTAGGCCATAAAAGAATATCACTGAGGGTCAGGGCAAAGCCTGATGTCAAAGAAACTTGGGCTGAATCTGGGCCTTCCCTATGACTGGATAAGGACATTATCTCTCTTCCCTAGGGTTGCTATGAAGATTAAATGAGATGAGGTAAGGCGAAGACTTACTGTAGTGCCTAGCACAGTAATTCCTCTGGAATTGTTAGCCCACTGCAATGATGATGATAATGATGACAATGACGACGATGACCATGACTAAGAAGAGGACCCCAAAGACAAGAGGAAGGATGGCAGACAGAACACACACTGTAGCATTGCACTGGCTGACAGGACTCTATAAATATCATTTTCATCCTTCCAGGATAAAAGAGGGCCATGCAAATATTAAAAATAAATAGTGATGAAATTTAGCATATTAGTGAGAGAACACTATGGCCAAAGAGGGTAATAAATGTTTAATGCGGATTATTGAAGATAAAACCACAACTGTAGTAGATACACATTACGGTATTACTAGCCTCAACTTATAAATGAGAAAATTGAGGCCTACTGGAATATAACAACGGTGTAAGAAAAATCTATCTATCTATATACAGTATACAGAAGTCTAGAGTAAAATTCCTAGGTATTTCAAGAAATTCAGTAAGTCTCAAAGAATTATGGCTATTAATAAATTAAGAGTTTTCCTATCCAAGCATATAATTCTGGTATTGTCCTTATTGATTAAATGTGCAGGAGCTAAAACACATGAGGGTGTTCCTGTCAAGGAATAAAACACCAATCAATAAATCCACCAAAAAAGGGATTTCCACATTTACATGTAATTTGTCTTCAAATTTCTTCCCTGATATTTTATGTAAATTGACACTACGATCACATGTAATGCAGCAGACATCAATGAGTCAATGAAAACCAACACCTGTTTCCAATCTTGTCTAAGAGGGATCTAGGAATAGCTGAGCCTAAACTGACCAGCACTCCATACTTGACTGAACATCAGGGAGAAATGTTCTTGGGTAATCAAGGAGCTTGCAGGCGAGATGTGCCAACCTGTCCAACAGCTCTACTTCCAAGACTAGTGCAAGGACTCTGGCTTAAGGGTACTTTTAAAAAATAAGACTTCTTCATTTAATGCTTTAAAAATACTATTTGGCAAATAGGTATATTCAAGTTGTAATTTATGTGAAAATGAATTGAAGGTACCCACCATACACATTCAATATATATATGCAGAGAAAATATATTAAATTATTTTGAAACAAAAAATGAGAACTCAGGGGCAGGGCGCAGTAGCTCACGCCTGTAATCCCAGCACTTGGGAGGCCAAGGTGGGTGGATCATGAGGTCAGGAAATCGAGACCATCCTGGCAAACACGGTGAAACCCCGTCTCTACTAAAAATACAAAAAAAAAAAAAAAAAAATTAGCCAGGCGTGGTGGCAGGCGCCTCTAGTCCCAGCTACTCAGGAGGCTGAGGCAGGAGAATGGCATGAACCCGGGAGACGGAGCTTGCAGTGAGCCGAAATCGCACCACTGCATTCCAGCCTGGGCAACAGAGCGAGACTCCATCTCAAAAAAAAAAAAAAAAAAAAAAGAGAATTCAGAATTATACAATCTAATTCTGAACATATTTAGCAGGAAAATAACATGAGATATATATGCAGATAATATATCCTCTGTGTCTTGTATTGAGGTTTACATATATTAGAGTTAAGATAAATATTTTCCATGAAATACAATTATACAAAAATTAGAACACAATAGGATGCACTTAATAATAAAAGTTTATAAAACAGAATATAATCTGTATATAGAACAGAATATAATCTGTAATATTCAGCAGGTATATGAAAAACATGCAGTGCTTCCGGAAGATCATCATCATCAATTACCGCAACATTGGCGAGATGCAGAAGTTATCAATTAAGAAGAATTACGGTTGAATTACTTTCCTATAACAATTTGTAATAAACTAAGTGAATCTATTAAAATAAGAAAGACTCAGGAATCTTTTTAATAATAACGAAGTCAGGACCAGGCACGGTAGCTCACACCTGTAGTCCCAGCACTTTGGGAGGCCGACGCAGGTGGATCACCTGAGGTCAGGAGATCGAGGCCAGCCTGATCAACATGGCAAAACCCTGTCTCTACTAAAAATACAAAAATTAGCCAGGCATGATGGTGCGCACCTGTGGTACCAGCTACTTGGGATGCTGAGACAGGAGAATCGCTTGAAGCTGGCAGACGGAGGTTGCAGTGAGCAGAGACTGTGCCACCGCACTCCAGCCTGAGTGACAGAGTGAGACTCTATCTCAAAAGAAAATGAAAAGAAGAAATTTAAAAAAATAAAAATTGTTGGGATTAGTTTATTTCCCAGTTTTAGTCCCCTTATCATCTAAAATAATATGTGTTAACGATGTTATCTTTAGAACTCATTTTAAAAGCTACAGGCAGCAAAGAGAAAATGTAAATTGAAGAACGAATAACCCTAAAAACAAAACATGGCTAGTGTATTCCCTTTTGGTAATAGGCTAGCATGTTGTTGATTGTGTACTGAACATGTACATCATGTTGGCTAGAAGTGTATCTTCTTTTTTTCTTTAGTTAGAGATTAAATACGCCTTACAAAGATGGGGCTCAGTAACATGACAACTTGGCTTAGCCAAATTCCATTTCCTAGAATTTGCTTCCCTAGATGTAGCTGGTTAAGAAAAGCCAGCAGAGAAATACCAGTATGAAATAAGCAGGGCAGATGTGAAACCATAGCGCGCAGGCATTGCCACATAGATCATCTCATCATCACAAGACAACAACCAAACCTTTGACCACTCTCCACAATCCTGGGAAAGCTTCTACATCAGCTTCTCTGACTCCTGAACCTCATGGGTAAGTTTAAGAAGCATAGGATGGGACCCAGCTTCTGTGGAATCCCATACCACCACTGTCCAAGGCTATGAGCTCCCACTCATGCCTGTGGGTCCCCCAAGTTCTCATTCTCCCTCATGTCACATCCCTCCTCACTTCTCAACTGCCTGCCCTGTGGGTTTCAAGGTCCAACATCAGATGTGATGACAACGCCTTACAGAGACTAGTTAAAAAGCTCCCATTGTTGCATGAGACCAAATTTCTGTAACAAGTATATTAACTTTATTCACACAGCCACACACACACAGACACACAGACACAGACACACACACACACACACACACACACACACACACACACACACACACAGAGTAATATGCGTATATCACAGTGGCTCTAAATGTCTGAGTGAATCCTGACTGATTTGGGGTTTAGAAGATAGAGTAATCAGAACCAGTTTTATCCTTCCCATTGATTAAAAAAAAATCCAAAAAATGTATGAAATAACAACTTTTAAGAAATAGCACATCAGGTAAAGAAAGACAATGATCTCAAAGAGCCAGCTGTCAGACAGTGTAACGAGGTGAGAAACAGAGCTGCAGCTAGGAGAACACAGGGAGGCCAGGCAGCTGGAATGCACAGGGCAGAGAGGTGAGACCCCAATAGAGACAGAACTCTAAAGATCATGGGAAGAGTGCATGGAGGATTCAGCGATTATTGATCAAGACACATATATATGAAGAAGCTACATGAGAGCACGACAAAACACAGAAAGAAAAAAATAGTGTTTGGGCTCACACAGGCTCCCATCAGCCAGACTTGAGAGACCTGCGGGCTCAAGGGGCACACAGCAAGTTCTGTCTCAGAAGTAGAGACAACTAATCCTACACTGAGCACTGTTCTGATCCTGCTTAAAAGCAAAGCAAAAAAATCATTTTCATGTAAATTAACTGCAATCTCAGAACAAGGGTCAAGAATATTTATTGAACTACAAAATAAACAGAAACAACAAAGTAAAATTAACAATGTCTAGAATTCAATGAAAAAATTACCAGGCATGCAAAGAAGTGTAAAAATATGAACAATAATAAGGAGAAAAATCAATCAAATACAACCAACCCAGAATGAACAAAGATATTAAAATTAGGGAACAATAAAACAATTACTATAAATACACAAAACATAATCAAAAGATAAGTACACCCGTCCCTTGGTATTCCTGGGGAATTGGTTCTAGGAACCCTCTGCAGATACCAAACTCCATCCATGCTCAAGTCCCTTACATAAAAATAATGTAGTATAGATGACCCTTGAACAACAAGAATTGGAACTGTGTGGGTCCACTTTTACTATGATTTTCTTCCACCTCTGCCACCCCTGAGACAGGAAGACCAAACCCTCCTGCTTTCCTTCTCCTCAGCCTACTTAATGTGAAGATAATGAGAATGAAGACTTTTATAAGGATTCACTTCCACTTAATAAATAATACACCTATTTCTTATGATTTTCTTAATAACAATTTCTTTTATCAAGCTTAAAGAATAGAGTAATATATACAATATTTATTAACTGGTTGTTTATGTTATCAGTAAGGCTTCTGGTCAACAGTAGGCTACTAGTAGTTGAGTCTGGGGGCAGTTAAAGTTATACACAGATTTTCACCTGCAAGGGAGGTTGGAGCCCCTCACTTCCACATTGTTCAAGGGGCAACTGCTTTTGCACATAACCTATGCACATCCTCCCATATACTTTAGATCATCTCTAGATTACTTACAATACTTAACACAATCTAAAAGCTACATAAATAGTTGTTCTATTGTATTGCTTTTTAATTTCTAGGGTTGTATTATTTTTGTATTTTTCAAGTATTTCTGACCAGCAGTTGGTAGAATCCACAAAAGTAGAACCCAAGGATACAGAGGATCGACTGTAGAGAGATGGAAGATATTTTTTAAAAATCCAAACCACATGTCTAGAAATAAAACACATGAGATAAAAAAATTCATTAGATGAGCTTAATGACATATTAGACATCCAGAAGAATAGTGACCTTGAATAAAAAGGAATAGAAAACACACACAAAAAAAGCACAAACAGAACATAGGTTTTTAAAAATGAAAACAAATTAGTTGTTGGCCAATTTCAAATGGTATCATTGGAATGTCCAAAAATACAAGGTGGAACAGGGAAGTAGTTGAAGAAATAATGGGCAAAAAAATTCCAAGTGTAATGAAGACTATAAACTCACAAATCAAAAAAGGTCAACGAATTGCAAACAAAGCAAACATGAAGGAAACCAATGATAAAGCAAAAGTCTAAAAAAAAAAGAGAGAAAAAAGACATGTTATATACAAAAGATCAAAGATGGCCGGGCGCGGTGGCTCACGCCTGTAATCCCAGCACTTTGGGAGGCCGAGGCGGGCGGATCACGAGGTCAGGAGATCGAGACCATCCTGGCTAACACGGTGAAACCCCGTCTCTACTAAAAATACAAAAAAAAAATTAGCCGGGCGTGGTAGCGGGCGCCTGTAGTCCCAGCTACTCGGGAGGCTGAGGCAGGAGAATGGCGTGAACCCGGGAGGCAGAGCTTGCAGTGAGCCGAGATCGCGCCACTGCCCTCCAGCCTGGGCGACAGAGCGAGACTCCGTCTCAAAAAAAAAAAAAAAAAAAAAATCAAAGATAAGAATGACAACAGATTTACAGATACAAAGCAAGGAAAAAATGAAGACTACAAAAAAATGTTAACTACCTTCATTTTATACCTTACACACTTGTAGTAGAAACTCATTCATATGAATCACAGACCGTAAATATAATACCTAAAACCATTAAACTTCTAAAATAAAATATAAGAAAAAAAGTTGTAACCTTCATCTAGGTAAAGATTTCTGGGATATTACACAAAAAGCAAAACTCATTAAAGAAAAAATGTATAAATTGGACTACATGGAAATTTTTTAATTCTCCCCTTCTAAAGAGAATTAAGCCACAGACTAGGACAAAATACTTGCAAATCATATGTTTAATAAAAAGCTTATCTCTAGCATACAAAAAGAAATCCCATGCTCAATAAGAAGAAAACAAACAACACAATTTTTTAAATAGACAAAAGATTTTTTTCATAGACCCTTCACCAAAGAAGAAATACACATGGCAAAAAAAAAAAAAAAAAAAAAAAAAAAGGTCCTAAGAAGATGCTCAAAATCATTAGGGACATGCAAATTAAATCACCAAGAGATTCCTCTACTTATCTAATAAAAATGGCTAAAACCAGACAGACTAACAATTGCAAGCTTTGGGAAGTTTACGTAGAAAAATAGGAAAGTTAAAACTCTTCTGGTGGATATGTAAACTGGTACTATTCTCTGGTAAAACCTTAAACATACAGCTATCCTAAAATCCAATCACTTTAGATTTAGGTATTTACCCAAGAGAAATGTAGGGCTATGGCCATACAAAACTTGTTTACAAATGTTCATCATAACAGCATAATTTCAAATATCCAAAAAAGAGAAATAATTCAGACATCTATAGAAAGGAGAATGGATAAACAAAGGGATAAAGAAACAATGTAATTCTGCTCAGCAATAATGAGGAATTAACTATCAATATACAACAACAACAAAAAAGAAAAAATCTAAAATCTAAAAGCAGCTATGATGATTTTAAAAAAAAAAAGACTGACAAGAAAAATTCCAAACTATATCATTCCATTCACAAAGAACTCTAAAAATGCAAGCTAATAATGGCAGAAAGCAGATCAGCAGTTGCATAGGGATGGCAGAGAGTGGCAGGAAGGATGGATTACAATGGAAAAAATGGGAATTTGGGGCAGTAATGGGTATAATCATAATCTTGTTTGAGGTAAAGGTTTCATGGAGAATACATACACATATGTCTAAATATGTATTAAAATTCATCAAATCATACATTTCAAATATGTACAGATTTCCGTATGTAATACTTCAATAAAACTTTTAAGTTAAAAACGACATTTACAATAGGAAGTCCATAATAATTTTAATTAGAAAATATTCATTTTTCAGGCATTATACACTCATACACAAGTAAGATATATGTTTATTTTTTGCTCTTCTTTACCTTTTTGCTTTATTAATTTTTAGGATTTTATAGAGTTCCAAAGTAACTGAGAAGTCAACCCCTGACTTGGCATGTACAGACCAGACATTGTTTCCTAAATTATATTTGAGATCTCTATGGTACTACGAAAGGATAAACAGTAAATATCTTGCAAGCAGAGGGATGGTAACACTGTCAAGCAACTACCTGGAAAAGCCTAAGTTTCAGAGCAAAAAGGTAACTAAAAGAGAGAGAGAGAGACTGACTGACTATATAAATAACTTCCATGATTTTCCCTTCTACGACTATAACTTTCTTACACTGTGTTACAAGCAAAACAGTTTCCTACAAATACTAGCAATTTGAAATTTGGAGGAGAAGCTACACATGACAAAAGTATACAGACAGATACATGAAAACAGATTATTTCTGAATTTCCCATTTTATTTGGTATTGTTTACATGGTGGCAAATGTATAATTTAGATATACTCTAAAAATACCAAAATTACCAAAAATGTGTGGTTTAAGAACTGAATATGATTCATAAGAACTTAAAACACAATCATGAAAAGAACCCAGCAGTTTCTAGCAGTCAGAAATAATATAAATTACAACCAGGCTATAGAGCTGATGAAGGTAACAGCAACAGGCCTAAAAGCTCCAAGATTTTAGGGTTTATATGTTGGGGTCTAAGTTACATTAAAAGGGGCAAACTTGCATCTATGGGTGAAATAATATATAGCAATATTATTAGCAAGTTCTAACATTTGATCAACTATTTAGATATCTCTAAAACATGTAACTTTTACATCTTGTAATATCAAACCAATTAATAAATATTTTCAGACAATGTGCTTTGTAAAAAAAATTGTGCTAAGGGATATAGAAAAGGGCTAATATAAGCTAAAATCTCATGGTATACCTAAATAAAAAAAATGCATAGAAATATGCACAAGTATAAGAAATATTTTAGTGCTAAAGAGACTACACAAAATATAAAAATGTCTCTCACCCTATCAAACTGACAATAACTTCTGCAACATTTATTGTACAATGCTCCTTTACTATCCTGAAATTAAGTGAATGTATAATAAAACCTATCAAAATTCAAAAATCCAAAAGATCAATATAGTACTCCAATAAATATAAAGTAAATTTAAAAGAAGTAGTTTAAAATAAAATTGTTTGTATTTCAAGAAATAAAAGGTTGGCAGTACTATATTGGAAGTCTAATGCATTTTCAGATATTTTTGCCTAAATAGATAATCACCATGAGAGGAGGGACAGCCAGAATGGGAAAGTGAGGTCCTCCAAAAATCTGCTCCTCCATAAAAGCAAAAGAACACAAGAAAAAGCAACTTTTTACCAACTCTGGAAATAAAAATAGAAAAGAGTATGAAGACTATTCAAGAAAACCAACTCAACAATAAGCTTTGGGGCACTTGAACTTATTCCAATCTCATGCCCAACTCCCTAGATTCGTAAGACTCCAGAAAAACAACAAAATGATGACTAGAGTAGATCTGAAAACCAGCAGCCTAGGAGCTAGGAGGAGCGGTCAAACAGGTTAGGAACTCACCAAAGACCTCATTCCCGTAAAAATTCCACTACTTACCTGGAAGATCCCTGAAACACTCCATGCTCAGGGTTTGTCTTTGACTTGACTCACAACTCACTGTGTGTGAATAACCCCCATCCTCAGGGCAACTGTCAGTAGCAATGGAAAAAACAAACAAAAAACCACAGAAGCAACTGTTTACCACCATAGCTGTCTGAGCATAAAACCAGTTAGGGAGAATAAGAGGCTAGCCAAAAAACTTAAAAGGAAAAATGAGAATAAGATTAGAAACACAAGCTTAGAAAAGCTCCAACATACTCCAGAAATCTAAAAGCAAACACACATGCACAGGGCTGTGTGAATGAAGGGAGAAATCTGAAAAGGTAATAATCTTCCATAGCATCTCTGGCTAACATTAAGCCTTTGCACAGGTAGAAAAAGAAGGTAAAGGTAGAGTTGATAACTGCCTGATGAAGCACATTCCACAATGCAACAGAGCCCCTTGACAAATGCTATGGACACTGGTTCAAGGCATTTGAAGAAATATGTGTCTTCCACTTTTCAAAGTAAGCAGTGACGTTAGTCGCCACACATGACAAAGAATACAGACGTTACAAAATACATTCAGAATAGTCACTAAACAGCATCAACAAAAGTAAACTCTGAGGAGGAAGGGATCTGATTTCCAAAGTGGTCACATTACATTATTTAAATGACTACTTTCTAGCAAATACATACATACATATATATATATATTTATATATGGAGAGAGAGAGAGAGAGAGAGAGAGACATGTAAAGTAACCGAAAAATATGGCCTATATACTGGGGGAAAAAAGCAGTCAACAGAAACCATTTCCATGAAATCCCAGATAAGACTGCTAGACAAAAACACTAACTCAACTAGCATCATAAAAATGTTCAAAAAAAAAAAAGGAAAATATAAGTAAGAACTACAGGAAATAAGAAATACAGGAAAATAAGAGAATTATGGGTTAACAAATAAAGATTATCAATAAAAATGAAAAAAAAGAAGCATATATAAATTCTGGAGCTGAAAAGTAAAATAATTGAACGAAAAATTCACTAGAGGAACTCAAGAGCAGATTTGAACTGGCAGAAGAAAATAGTCACAGAAAATACAGCAAGGTCTTTCTGATCCAGTCTGAGAAACAAAATGAAGGTGAAAAAGGAGAATAACAAGGAGAAGAAGAAAGAGGGGGAAGAGGAAAAATGACCAGGAAACAATAAGAAATTAATAAGGACATAATATTAAGGACATAATAAGAAACATAGTAAGAAGAGGGCAGGAAAAGAAATTGAAGAAATCATGATCAAAAGCTTAACAAATCTGATGCAAAACATTAGTCTTAACATCCAAGAGACTCAATAATTACCACATAGGAAAAACTCAAACATGTCCACAGAATACCACATATTCAAACTGTCAAATGCTAAACAGAAAAAGAGAATCCTGAGAGCAGCAACAGAGTCAAGTCAGTCATCCATTACAAAGTATGCACAATAAGATTAAAAACTAACATCTCCACACAAACTATGCAAGTCAGAAGGCAGGGGGATGACATATTCAAAGTGTTGAAAAAAAATTACTGTCATCTAAATTTCTGTATCAGCAAAACAGTACAAATGAAAACAAAGGAGATATGAAGACACACCCAGATACACAAAAGAAAAAACAAAAAACACCATCAGCCAGACCTGCTGTACAAGAAATACTAAGCGCAGTTCTTTAAATGGAAATTAAGGAATACTAGTCACTAACTCATTTTCACATGAAGAAATGAAGGACCAGTAAAGGTAATGACGTAGGTAATTTTTTAAAACTATAAATATATTTTTTGGCCAGGCATAGTGACTCATGCCTGTAATTCCAGAACTCTGGGAAGTCAAGGTGGGCGGATCATTTGAGGTCAGGAGTTCGAGACCAGCCTGGCCAACATCTCCACTAAAAATACAAAACAATTAGCTGGACATGGGAGCACACATCTGTAATCTGAGCTACCAGGAAGGCTGAGGCAGGAGAATCGCTTGAACTCAGGAGACAGAGGTTCCAGTGAGCCGAGATCATGCCACTGCACTCCAGCCTGGGTGACAGAGTAAGACTCCATCTCAAAAATAAATATAGATATATTTTCTCTTTTCCTTTGTAATTATTTTCCCTGTCCAATTAAAAGGCATCTAGTTAAAACAGTAATTACAAATTTGTATTGATGGATATAAAAGTAGAAAGATACATTTTATATGACAGTAACAGGACAAAGTAGGGGGTGAGGAAATAATGTATGTAGGAGCTTTTATACAGTATTGAAATTAAGTTGGTATTCGTAAAAACTAGATTGTTATAAGATGTTCACTGTCATCCCTAGGTTAAGAATTAAGAAAATTTATACACACACATGCATACATATACATACATGTGTGTATATGCATGAACTGAATAAGGAAGTAAAAATATAAATAAGAAAAATTCCTATTTAACACAAAATAAGAAGAAACAGTAAAATACCATAACAAAAAAGGCATAAAGACATGTAGAAAAACACAAAATAGCACGTGTAAATCCTGTAAATTCTACTTGTCAATAATGACATTATAGGTAAATGGACTAAAAATTTCAAGCAAAAAGTAATGACTGGCAAAACAAATTCAAGAAACATGATCCAAGTATATGCTGTCTACAAGACATAAACATAAGATTCAAAGACTCAAGTAAGTTGAACGTATCAGGATGAAAGATACACCATGCAATCAGTAACCAAAAGAAAGCCGCAGCGGCTATATTCATATCAGAGAAAATAAATGTTAAAAGGAAGATTGTTACTAGAAGCCAAAAAACGGGGGAGAACATTTATAACAAAAAGTTGGTACTCTATAAAGAATGAACAAACACAAACGTACTAATAACAAAGCCTCCAAAATAAACAAAACAACAAATTATAGAAATGAAGCAGAAATTTCAACAATAAGATTTGGAGACTTGAAAAGCCCATTTTCAGTAATAAATAGACTTAATGTGAAACATAAACAATGAAAGGAAGATTTGAACAACAAGGTACATCAACTAGAAATAAAAGGCATCTATAGAATATGTCACACAATAAAAACAACCTCAAATGCCCAGAGAATAGCCTCCAGAACTGATCATATGATAGGATATAAAATAAGCATCAGGACATCTATAGAGATTGAAATCATACAAGAAATACTTTTATTTCCTTTAGTCATATACAATAAAATTAGAAGTCAAATAACAAAAGGAAATTTGGGAGATTAACAAATATGTGTTAATGAAACATACTCATAAATACAGTGGGTCAAAGAAGAAATCACAAAATAAATTTTAAAACAGTTTGAGATGAATGGAAACAAATATGGAACATATAAAAACTCAGAAGATGTAGTTGAAGCAATAGACACAGGGAAATTTATATCTTTAAACATCTGTATATTAAAAAAAGAAAGTCTCCATTCTTACTGCCTCATTTGACTTCCTTAAAAATAATAAATAAAATAAAATAAACGAATAAAAGATCTCAAATCAAGAACCTAATTTTTCCACCATAACTAAAACTAGAAAAGCAAACAAAACCAAAAGTGAGCAGAAGGGATGAAATAAAAATTAGAATATAAATAATGACATAGAAAAATAGGCAATATCAACAAATCCAAAAATTAGTTCTTTGGAAAGATCATCAAAAATGACAAACTGTTAGCTGAACAGATGAAGAAGAAAAAAGAAAGAAGACCCAAATTATTAACTAGGAATGAAAAGGGTGAATATTACTACTAACCTTACAAAGGTAAAAAGAATTAAAGATGAATACTATAAACATCCATGTGCCAACTAAACTATCTAGATGAAACAGACAAATTCCTGGAAAGAAGAAAACAAGTGAAGCACAACTAAACAAGAAATTTTAAAATCTGTATAGAGCTATAACAAGTAAAGCAACTGAATGAAGAGTCAAAAAAACCTTCTACAAAGACATATTCACAGATGACAGGATCTTGTACACAGAAGATCCTGAAGAATTTAAAATAGCAAACTATTCAAATTAATAAACAATTTCAGCAATGTTGCAAGATACAAAATCAATACACAAAAATGCATTGTGTTTCTATGCACTAACAAAGAAAAATCAAAAAAAGTATAAAAACATTTAAAATACTTAGAAGTAAATTTACCAATAGAAGTGGAAGACATACATTGAAAACTTTAAAACTTCACTACAAGAAGCAGAAGACTTCAGTAAATAGAAAGAAATCCCATGTTCATGCATTGGAACACAATATACTTTATGTGACAATACTTTCCAAATTGACTCAGAAATTCAATGCAATCCCTATCAAAATTCCAACCTGCCCCTTTGCCAATATTACCAAAGTGATCCTTAAAAATTCATAAAAATGCAAGAGACTCAGAATAACCAAACCAATCTTGAAAAAGAATAAGGTTGAAGGACTCACATGTTTCAACTACAAAGCAACAATAATCAAGGTGCGATAATAGCATAAAAATGAAATATATGGCCAGGCGCTGTGGCTCATGCCTGTAATGCCAGGACTTTGGGAGGCTGACGTGAGCACATCATGAGGTCAGGAGTTCGAGACCATCCTGGCCAACATGGTGAAACCCCATCTCTACTAAAAATACAAAAATCAGCCGGGTGTGGTGGTGCGCACCTGCAATCCCAGCTACTAAGGAGGCTGAGGCAGAAGAATAGCTTCAACTTGGGAGGCAGAGGTTGCCATGAGCTGAGATAGGGCCACTGCACTCCAGCCTGGGCAACAGAGTTAGACTCAGTCTCAAAAAAAAAAAAAAAAAAAAAAAAAAGGAAGGAAAAGAGGAAGGAAGGAAGGGAGGAAGGGAGGAAGGGAGGGAGGGAAGGGAGGGAGGGAGGAATGAATGAACGAATGAATGAAAGAAGGAAGGAAAGAGAGAGAGAGAAAGAAAGAAAGAAAGAAAGAAAGAAAGAAAGAAAGAAAGAAAGGAAAGAAAGAAGAGAGGCAGGCTGAGGCAGAAGAATCGCTTGAACTCAGGAGGCAGAGGTTGCCGTGAGCTGAGATAGCGCCACTGCACTCCAGCCTGGGCAACAGAGTTAGACTCGGTCTCAGAAAAAAAAAAAAAAAAAAAAAACCAGAAAGGAGGAAGGAAGGAAGGAAGAAGGAAGGGAGGGAGGGAGAGAGGGAAAGATACATCAATGAAATACAATTAAGAGTTCATAAATAAGCCTTTACATTTATGATCAATTCATTGTGACAAGAATGCCAAGACAATCGATGCTAGGAAGAAACTGCATCAACTAACGAACAAAATAACCAGCTAACATCATAATGACAGGATCAAATTCACACATAACAATATTAACCTTAAATGTAAATGGGCTAAATCCTCCAATTAAAAGACACAGACGGGCAAACTGGACAAAGAATCAAGACCCATCGGTAATTCAGGAGACCCATCTCATGTGCAGAGACACAAATAGGCTCAAAAAAAGGGATGGAGGAAGATCTACCAAGCAAACGGAAAACAAAAAAAAAGCAGGGGGTTGCAATCCTAGTCTCTGATAAAACAAACTTTAAACCAACAAAGAACAAAAGAGACAAAGAAGGCCATTACATAATGGTAAAGGGATCAATTCAACAAGAAGAGATAACTATCCTAAATATATATACACCCAATACAGGAGCACCCAGATTCCTAAAGCAAGTCCTTAGAGACCTGCAAAGACACTTAGGACTCCCACACAATAATAATGGGAGACTTTAACACCCCACTGTCAACATTAGACAGATCAATGAGACAGAAAGTTAACAAGGACATCCGGGATTGAACTCAGCTCTGCACCAAGCGGATCTAATAGACATCTACAGAACTCTCCACCCCGAATCAACAGAATATACATTCTTCTCAGCATCACATCGCACTTATTCCAAAATTGACCACATAGTTGGAAGTAAAGCTCTCCTCAGCAAATGTAAAGGAACAGAAATTATAACAAACTGTCTCTCAGACCACAGTGCAATCAAACTCAAACTCAGGATTAAGAAACACACTCGAAACCACACAACTACATGGAAACTGAACAACCTGCTCCTGAATGACTACTGGGTACATAACAAAATGAAGGCAGAAATAAAGATGTTCTTTGAAACCAATGAGAACAAAGACACAATGTACCAGAATCTCTGGGACACATTTAAAGCAGTGTGTAGAGGGAAATTTATAGCACTAAATGCCCACAAGAGAAAGCAGGAAAGATCTAAAATTGATATCCTAACATCACAATTAAAAGAACTAGAGAAGCAAGAGCAAACACATTTAAAAGCTAGCAGAAGGCAAGAAATAACTAAGATCAGTGCAGAACTGAAGGAAATAAGAGACACAAAAAACCCTTCAAAAATTCAATGAATCCAGGAACTGGTTTTTTGAAAAGATCAACAGAATTGATAGACCGCTAGCAAGACTAATGAAGAAGAAAAGAGAGAAGAATCAAATAGATGTAATAAAAAAATGATAAAGGGGATAGCACCACCAATCCCACAGAAATACAAACTACCATCAGAGAATACTATAAACACCTCTACACAAATAAACTAGAAAATCTAGAAGAAATGGATAAATTCCTGGACACATACACTCTCCCAAGACTAAACCAGGAAGAAGTTGAATCCCTGAATAGACCAGTAACAGGCTCTGAAATTGAGACAATAATTAATAGCCTAACAACCAAAAAAAGTCAGGACCAGACGGATTCACAGCCAAATTCTACAAAGAGGAGCTGTTATCATTCCTTCTGAAACCATTCCAATCAATAGAAAAAGAGAGAATCCTCCCTAACTCATTTTATGAGGCCAGCATCATCCTGATATCAAAGCCTGGCAGAGACACAACAAAAAAAAAGAGAAATTTTAGACCAATATCCCTGATGAACATCAATGCAAAAATCCTCAATAAAATACTGGCAAAACAAATCCAGCAGCATATCAAAAAGCTATCCACCACGATCAAGTTGGCTTCATCCCTGGGATGCAAGGCTGGTTCAACATACACAAATCAATAAACGTAATCCATCATATAAACAGAACCAAAGACAAAAACCACAATTATCTCAATAGATGCAGAAAAGTCCTTTGACAAAATTCAACAGCCCTTCATGCTAAAAACTCTCAATAAACTAGGTATTGATGGGACGTCTCCCAAATAATAAGAGCTATTTATGACAAACCCACAGCCAATATCATACTGAATGGGCAAAAACTGGAAGCATGCCCTTTGAAAACTGGCACAAGACAAGGATGCCCTCTCTCACCACTCCTATTCAACAGTGTTGGAAGTTCTGGCCAGGGTAGTCAGGCAGGAGAAAGAAATAAAGGATATTCAATTAGGAAAAGAGGAAGTCAAATTGTGCCTGTTTGCAGATGACATGATTGTATATTTAGAAAACTTAAGCTGATAAGCAACTTCGGCTAAGTCTCAGGATACAAAATCAATATGCAAAAATCACAAGCATTCCTACGCACCAATAACAGACAAACAGAGAGCCAAATCATGAGTGAACTCCCATTCACAATTGCTTCAAAGAGAATAAAATACCTAGGAATGTAGGAATCCAACTTACAAGGGATGTGAAGGACCTCTTCAAGGAGAAATACAAACCACTGCTCAACGAAATAAAAGAGGACACAAACAAATGGAAGGACATTCCATGCTCATGGATAGGAAGAATCAATACCATGAAAATGGCCATACTGCCCAAGGTAATTTATAGATTCAATGCCATCCCCATCAAGCCACCAATGACTTTCTTCACAGAATTGGAAAAAACTACTTTAAAGTTCATATGGAACCAAAAAAGAGCCCACATTGCCAAGACAATCCTAATCCAAAAGAACAAAGCTGGAGGCATCACGCTACCTAGCTTCAAACTATATTACAAGGCTACAGTAACCAAAACAGCATGGTACTGGTACCAAAACAGAGATATAAACCAATGGAACAGAACAGAGCCCTCAGAAA
This sequence comes from Homo sapiens, assembly GCF_000001405.40. Classification (NCBI taxonomy): domain Eukaryota; kingdom Metazoa; phylum Chordata; class Mammalia; order Primates; family Hominidae; genus Homo; species Homo sapiens. Next base: position 74,752,699 of record NC_000018.10, on the reverse strand, counting down.
TAATACCACACGTCTACAACCATCTGATCTTTGACAAACCTGACAAAAACGAGAAATGGGGAAAAGATTCCCTATTTAATAAATGGTGCTGGGAAAACTGGCTAGCCATATGTAGAAAGCTGAAACTGGATCCCTTCCTTACACCCTATACAAAAATTAATTCAAGATGGATTAAAGACTTAAATGTTAGACCTAAAACCATAAAAACCCTAGAAGAAAACCTAGGCACTACCATTCAGGACATAGGCATGGGCAAGGACTTCATGACTAAAACACCAAAAGCAATGGCAACAAAAGCCAAAATTGACAAATGGGATCTAATTAAACTAAAGAGCTTCTGCACAGCAAAAGAAACTACCACCAGAGTGAACAGGCAACCTACAGAATGGGAGAAAATTTTCGCAACCTACCCATCTGACAAAGGGCTAATATCCAGGATCTACAAAGAACTTAAACAAATTTACAAGAAACAAATCAAACAACCCCATCAAAAAGTGGGCAAAGGATATGAAGAGAAACGTCTCAAAAAAAGACATTTATGCAGCCAACAGACACATGAAAAAATGCTCATCATCACTGGCCATCAGAGAAATGCAAATCAAAACCACAATGAGATACCATCTCACACCAGTCAGAATGGCAATCATTTAAAAAGTCAGGCAACAACAGGTGCTGGAGAGGATATGGAGAAATAGGAACACTTTTACACTGTTGGTGGGACTGTAAACTACTTCAACCATTGTGGAAGTCAGTGTGGTGATTCCTCAGGGATCTAGAACTAGAAATACCATTTGACCCAGCCATCCCATTACTGGGTATATCCCCAAAGGATTATAAATCAGCTTGCTATAAAGACACACGCACATGTATGTCTACTGCGGCACTATTCACAATAGCAAAGACTTGGTACTAACCCAGATGTCCATCAATGATAGACTGGATTAAGAAAATGTGGCACATACATACCATGGAATACTACGCGGCCATAAAAAGGATGAGTTCATGTCCTTTGTAGGGACATGGATGAAGCTGGAAACCATCATTTTGAGCAAACTATTGCAAGGACAGAAAACCAAACACTGCATGTTCTCACTCATAGGTGGGAATTGAACAATGAGAACACTTGGACACAGGGTGGGGAACATCACACATGGGGGCCTGTCGTGTGGTGGGGGGAGGGGAGAGGGATAGCATTAGAAGATATACCTAATGTAAATGACGAGTTAATGGGTGCAGCACACCAACATGGCACATGTATACATATGTAACAAACCTGCACATTGTGCACATGTACCCTAGAACTTAAAGTATAATAAAATAAATAAATTTTAAAAAAAAGAATAGACTTTTCAACAAATGGTATTGAGACGTGCGTAGCCACATTAGAAAAGAATAAAATGAACTCCTTCCTAATGATATATCCAAAAAGTAATTCAAAGTGATTCAAAAATCCCAATGTAAGGGGTAAAAAGCTATAAAATCTTAGAGGAATACATCTTTGGGATCTTAAATTAGGCAATGGTTTTAGATATAACACCAAAGCACAAATGACAAAAGAGTAAATTGAAATTCATGAAAATTAAAGAAGTTTGTGCTTCAAAGGACACAATCAATAAATTAAAAAGACAATATCCAGAATAAAAATTTCAGAAAACTCAATAAAAAGACAATACAAAGTAAAAACGGGCAAGGGATCTGAATAGATATTTCCCCATAAAATATATAAAATAGGCAATATAAAGCACATAAAAAGTTGCTCAAGAGCATTACTCTTCAGGAAAATTGAAATCAAAACGTCAATGATATATCACTTCAAACACATCAGGTGAGCTATAATCAAAAAGACAAACAACAAGTCTTGTTGAGGATACAGAGAAATTCAAAAATTCATACACTGCTAGCAAGAAACATTTGATGGCTTCTCACAAAGTTAAACATATAGTTAGCACAAGATCCAGCAATTCTACTCCTATATACCCGAGAAAACTGAAAATTTATGTCCACTCAAAAATCTGTGCAGAAACGTTCACAGCACCGTTAGTCATAATATCTAAAAAGTGAAAATCATCCTGATGACCATGAAATGATGAACGGGTGAATACCAAACGGTGCTGGGTCCACACAATGCAGTATTAGTTGGCCACAAGAAGGAAGCACTGATGCATGCTATGACATGAATGAATCATGAAAACATGCCAGTTGAATAAATTTGGACACAAAAGGCCACATATTGTATAATCACATTCATATGAACTGTCCAGAATAAATCTATAGAAAAGAAAAGCTGATGATTTACATATGAATCAAGTTAAAAAGTAAATGACTTTCCCTCAGCTGAAAAAGAACATACTGCACCACTCATTTAGGTTTTATTTTAAAGTTCACATATCAGTAAAATGAGCGACAAAAGCAATTAACTGTTAAACAATTTTGCATCTTATGTTGGTAGGCAAAAAATACCACAAGATGATAATGTAGGTAAGATATAGTAATGCCTAAAAGAATTCAGGATACTCTCAAAGAAGAAGTAAAATGTACAGATAACTAGGATTTCCATGAGAAGGATGATATTCCTGGAAGAGAAGAAAAGTGTGAGAAAATGTAAACCAGTCTGAGAAGCTTACATATGTGCCAAGGCTATAGCACGGATTTGGGTGAAAATGAGGCTGGAAAGGACTTTCATGGACAAAACTGTGACCCTTGCACCAACCTCATACTTTGTCCAGTGAATTTAGGCCTCTCTTCTGCCTTAGAAAAGTTCCAAAAAAGAATGACAATTTCACACTCTTCTAATTTTTATAGTTTCCAATAAGATACATCTCCAATAACTTATCATACTTCTTTAATTTCCTTTGCCTCCTGTATTAAATGGAATACAAAGCTTTCTATTATTTGGAGTTTTATTCCCCAAATAAGATGTTAAGACTTGACCTACTGTTGTACTTTCAAAAATAACAGTATACTAAAATGTTCACAGACACATATATTATTTTTAAAAACTATCCTTTACTTCCAAACTAGAATGATTCGGGAGCCAATAAATTCTGAAATTTGTGGTAAGGCATCTCAAACAATAAATACAGGAATTTTTTTCTGACATCTCTGCTGCATTCCTCTTTTTCTTTCACTGCAGTTTTAAATTCTTCACAACAGATAACAAAGACAGTATGGATTCTTAAAAAACGGTATCTCAGTTAGGTTTTATGATCATCTACATAGTTAAAACAACATCTAAGTCTAAGTAATAATTGCAGCATGAGGGCAAAATGGGCACCATTAATTTCTAAAATTCCAATACCTTACTGGAATTGATACAGGCCATACCCAACATCGTTGATGAAGTAGTGTTTTCCAGCAAGAAGGCTGGGGGATGTGAAGAAAATATAAGGTAAGGAAAGGGCAGAGCAGAGGAGCCACGATGAGAGGAGAGGGGAGGACAGCAGAGAGGAGACCTGTACACGCGATGCTCTCATATTCCTATGGCTGTGTATAATATTCTGCAAAGGAAAATTGACTGAGATGGAAGCTATTTTGCATGGTACAGTGGCAATGGCTAACAAATGAGAGTTTTGTGGGCTGAATGTTAGTCCCCTGCCTCATCTGCCACCCCTAATGACAGCAGCCACCTGCTGTTTTATTGTCACAGCTGGAGCCAGTTCACACTCCTTGGTGCTGAGCTCTGCCCATGAGCACCAAGCGCTCTCTTCGCCTCATTACTTTGATGAACTTTTTATGGTCAGCACCCATGAAGACCTCATCTAGAACTCCACAACACAAACTGGCTTCTGGGAGCACTTTCAGTTACAGGAGGTGATAACACACAGTGACACAACGGCTTTCGTGTCTGTCAGCTAGTTCAGAAGTCACTGCACTATATTTTTGACATAACAGGGTCCACAACAGGTAAAACTGCCATGAAATTCCCATACTTAATAATGTTCTTTCCTCCTCATTTTGATGTGAAGATCATAGGATACTGCCATAATGAAGTCTTTTAATGGTACATGTTATTATACAAAACCTAATGTACTGTTTATGATTATGGCCATAAAATTAAAATTCTTTTCATTTTCTATAGATTGAAAGTGATTGGAAGAAATTTTTCCCTTTGGCTTTTAAAGTCAAAAGGGATAAAACTGAAGCAGAAACAAAATCTTATTTGTATTAATAAACAATTTTAAATTAAAACTTTGTAAGTTGTCTTTTAATGTTTTCAAATAAAAATGTGCAGCAATGATATGTCAGCTAATTTTAAATTAAACCTGTAATGTGTAATTTTGGTGGTAGAAAGGCTATTTGAATAATCATGTTCTCAATAGTAAAACCCAAGCTTTTTCTGATCAGTGTTGTCCAGATATATATTAGGAGTCCTCAAGAATTTGACTACTTATTGCAGAGGACAAAAAAAAAAAAAAGAAAGAATTTTTAAATGTCAGCAACACTGAAAAACTTTATCATCTCTGAAAACTTGCTGTGTGAAAATTATTGATCATAATTTTTATTATTTGCAAGCCCTGAGTCATGCCTAATCACAAGAGCTTAACCTGGGAAAAGAAACTTTATAGCATTAAAATAGTTGAACATATCCCCATATTTACAAACATACTAAGCACATTTTTTAAATATTCTAAAAATCACCAAGCAACATTTTAATTTTCTAATGCCTGACAGCTTTTATAATCCTAAAAACTAGAACATTTAACTATTTCCTATGTAGAACTGTAGTTGATAATTCTTGACAAATTCTTCAATGTTACAAACCATTAAACTTCACTTAGATTCATTTTAAAATTCTACCCAAAAACATACGTGTATATAAATGTATGAAGTGATTTATCTTGTTACTTTCTCCTCAAAGTATATGTGTTATACATTGCATGGTTTCACTCAGAAAATTATATTCATAATGAAAATTCTTCAAAATATTGACATTTTAACTAAGAGATAGGATAATATGAGCTTTACTAATGCAGCTAAACTTGTGCTGAACGTCAGCAAAATGGTACCAAAAACAGCACTTGTTCTGAACCCTAGACAGTATTGGCAAATAATAGCAATGATGGTAATATTCAAAGATGACATACACACACACATACACACAATCCATGTATGTAACACAGAATCAGTGGTTTGAAATTCTGCTGAGCTTAGATTTTTCTTCAGTTATTTAATAACATGCCAAACTTAAAGTTTGTGAAATCTTGTCTTAAAAAAAAAAAATCCAGGAAAGCCTCTCAATGGTTGTACTAAATGACATTTAACCATAAATCAACCAAGTCAAGTCATTATGAGGAAATAATTTTTCACAATTCACACATTCTCCTTTTCTCAGCATATATTCTACAAATCATAATAAATGTATTACGCATTATGAATACCATGTAATTCCCTTCCGGAAATGACTGGATGCAAGGTATTTTTATTGAAATCACGGTTCTGTTTTCTGTTTAAGCAGGTAAATACTTAATTGTTAATGATATGTTCCTTTGCAACAAGAAATAAAAAGAGAAAGTGAGGAAATAGTTACATAATTAAATGAAAAAAAAACTAGAAACGAATGTGAGCAAGAAAAATATTACATATGGTCACATACCATGTAATGTTTTAATCAGTGATTAACCACATATATGACAATGGTCCCGTAAGATTATAATGAAGTTGAAAAATTCCTGTTGACTAATGACCTCATAGCCATCCAAACATCTCAGTGCAGTGCATTATTCGTTTGTGGTGATGCTGCTATAAATAAAGCTTTGCTGTCAAACATATAAAGGTATATCATAACTAATTATTAACAGTATGTAACTGATAATGATAGTAAACAACTATGTTACCGGCTTATAAATTTACTATATAATACTTTTTGTCATTACTTTAGAGTGTACTCCTTTTACTTATCGTTTTTTTTTTTAAGTTAAGTGTAAAACAGCTTCAGGCAGGTCCTTCAGAAAGCCTTCCAGAAGAAGGAATTGTTATCATAGCAGATGACAGTTCCACAACTGTTATCGCACCTGAAGACCTTCCACTGAGACAAGATACAGAGATGGAAGATGGGGATACTGATCATCCTTACCCTGTGTAGGCCTAAGCTAATGTGTTTGTGTCACAGTTTTTAACAAAAAAGTTTTAAAAGTAAAACAATAAAATAATTTAGGATAGAAAAAATAAGAATATTCTCATTCTTATATGGATATAAGAAAATACATTTGAACAGCTATGGAATATTTGTGTTTTAAGCAAAATGTTATCAAAAAGGAGTCAAAAACTTTAAAAAATAGTTCATAAAGTGAAAAACTTGCAGTAAGATACAGTTTATTAAAAAAGAAAAAATTTTAAATTGAATTTAGTGTAGCCTAAGTGAACAGTGTTGATAAAATCTACAGTAGTGTACAGTAATGTCCTAGGCCTCCACGATTACTCACCACTCACTCATCCAGAGCCACTCCCGGTCCTGCAAGCTCCATTCACAATTCAGTGCCCTGCACAGATACAACTGCACCCCTTTTTATCTTTCGTACTGTACTCTTACTGTACCATTCTATGTTTAGGTACACTCGCACAGCACTCAGTACAGTCGCATGCTGGACAGGTTTGCAGCCTAGGAGCAATAGGCCATACCATCTAGCCTAGGTGTGTGGTAGGCTCTATCATCTAGTTCATGTAAATACACTCCATGATGTTTGCACAGTAACAAAATCGCCTAACTCATTTCTCAGAACATATCCCCATCATTTATCAGCACATGACTGTATTTAAGTTGGAGTGATAAACCAACTAATAAAGAAGAGATATGCAAGAAATCCCAGGCTGCTATACACAGACAGAGTGAGCAAATGAATACAGACTCCTCGTATGAGGCAGGATCCTTGGCAGAGCTGGAGTTAGACGCTACAACAGACATCCAGACTGATGAATAACCATAAGACCGGTTTCCTAAATGAGGCAAAACTAGACTCTCAGCTACTCTAAATGCGTACTTATACATATTGATATTCCTCATATATCCTCACCACCTGCAGCATTTTGTTCTGTTTTCCCAAAATTGATGGAGAAAGTATGTTAAAGCAACTAACATAAAACAAATACGTAAGTTCAATTACTAAAATCAAACACATAGGCAAAGGCAAGAAGATAGTTTCAAGCAAAGCTGAAACTCTGTGGAACCACAATACCAAATGATTACATTTTATAAAGAAGGCAAGAATAGAAAGGATGAGGAAAATAAACTTTATGCTTTAACAGCATCTAAATTTACAGTATTTTCCAAATCCTTCACATCTGATCTTCACATTTGTCAGGTGAGATTGAGAATATTTTTTTTTTTGCCTCTGAAGAAATTAGCAATATTTAGCCCTTTTTGTCCAAGTTAGACAACTTCCATCTAATGACTTACTTTCCATAAAACTTTTTTAAATAACTCTTCCTAAATAACTTTTAAATACCAAGAAATACATAAATATCCATACAATCCTAGGAACTTTTTAATTCATATCCTAGGTGTACATTTATGATTCTCCACAAGATAACCAATTATTAAGTTGCCTTTTTAAAACTGATCTTAAGAATGTTTTCATTACATGGTATTTCCCACCCAACTGAGAACAGATGTGACTTTCAGGTGAGTCTGAATGCACTACGATACGTGTTGTGTCCCTTCCTTCTCTCATCTCATTGCCTATTCTCTAAGAAATGCTGAGTAATATCATTATTCCCTACTCGATTTTACAGATTTACCATGGATGGACATGGTAAAGCTATATATGGTAAAGCTATAAAATCAAGGAGTTTCCCTTATTTAAAAATTAAAACTACCAGTCCATCCATGGTAAAGCTATAAAATCAAGTAGGAAATAATGATATTATTCAGCATTTCACACTAATACACTGCTTAGTACATTAGTAATGTATTACACACTAATACATTGCCTAGTGTGGTTTGTTTTTGAGCTTTTCAAAAATGGTATCACATTGTGGCAGTCAATGAACATTTGAGTTGTTTCCAATTTTTTGTGACTGTTGAAAACAATCCCCCAATGCTTTGTTTCTTTTGCAGCAAAAATCTATGTGCTAAATCCATCAACTTCCAAGTATTTTGGTCCTGTCCACAAACTTGTTTTCTCCCCTACTAAAATCACTCCTAAGTCTAAAACCAACAAAAATGTGTTTCCTTTATTTAAAAATTAAACTATAATAGTTTTAAAATATAAAACTATTGATATCTCTGCCAACACTCTAATGTTGCTTTAAAAATAAAAATGAAAAACTATCCAAATTAGCTATTGACTACAGAAGTGGATAACCATCCAAGCACAAAGCAAACCCAGGCTAGCACAAAGAAAAGTTGACTAGGCCATGAGTCAGGTCAAAGGTCATAAGCCATCAATCCACTCCCTGGCATCAGAGGACGTCCCTTCATGACAGAGCACTGGAAACAGGGACATGAAGAAGGTATCCAAATCTTGGGGAGGTGCCCCACTTGTCAAAGAATTCAGAACATAACAGCGAAGTAGATGACACATAAAGAGAAAATTTCTGGAGGAATAATAAGTTCATTAATAAATTCTCAATGTATTGCCTGCAGGTCACAAAAATCAGTGTTTGAGGCCGAAGTTCAAACACTAAATTCCTATATAAGAAATAACTTGAGAGCCAAAATTGGAATCAACTAATCAAAAGGTCCCATGAGAACAATGAATGTCTTATGTAGTACATTATAATAATTTAACATACAGTATTTATGTTATTCTAAGAGACCATCCATTTTGAGGCAGTTAATTGATTTAATAAAAGCTTTTCTAAAAGTTTTAAAAGAAAAAACAAATTAATGTACCAATTAACTCTAAAACACATCACAATTTCAAAAATGTTCAAATATTTTAAAAAGTATGTCTTATAAGCAGGAAGCCTTTAATAAATCACAATATACCTATTCTTTTAGAAGCAACAGACACAACATATCTAAGAAAAGAAAATGTTCTAGAGATAATGGCAGAAGGAATATAGTAAAGTTTCTTTCACAACATTTTAGATTGCAAGAAGTTATTTCCATTAAAAATACCTGTATGAATACCAATTAGGGAACTTCACAGATCTTAAAACATGACAACTCATTAGGATTTTATCACTACCTGTCCTAAAAAAGGAATATTATATATTTCAAATACAACTTTACAGTGGTCCTTATCTGATTTAGTAATTTTAAAACTCTCAGAATCTCCTATTTTATAAATATGAAAGTTAGACATTACCATCATATTATCTTACAACTAAAGAACCAAACCATTAAGCAAGAATCGAGACATCTTGTGTACATGAAAATACACACACACACACACAGATCTGACAAGACAAGATAAATCCTGACCAACCACATCAATCCCCTTCCGAGTTCAGTATCAAAGAGAAGAGAAAATTGGTGCTATTGCCTTGTTAAAATATATATTTTGAGTATCTTGTGGTCATTTAAAATTCAACACAACTAAACCAAATGTGTCACCTTCCCTCCCACATTGTAATCCCTAACCCCTGTAACTTGCTTCTTCTCCAGCGTTCTCTATTTTGGTTAACAGAACACTAGTCAGCCACTGGCTAGTCAGCCACACTACAAATGTAAAGCAAATCTTCACTCCTCCAATTCCATCAACGCTTGCATTATTCAGCCGTCAAGTTCTGCCTCCTCACACCCCTGAATCTATCATCTTCCATCCATCCACCGCCTTTGCTGGTTCATTACCTAAGGGTTTCCCTATCTATTGCTGGACTATTAAAAAAAGTATCCTAATTGGCCTTAAGACCCATAATTATACCAGTTCAGCCATTAACTGAATATACATTCAAGACCTCCTATGCACAAGGTAACCACATTGTTTTTTAGCCAGACCACAGAATTTATGAGCTAGAAACAGGGACTAAGCAGACAAGAGGCCTGGATGACAGGAATGATGCATCACTGCTCTTGGAGTACACAGGAGAAAAATGTGAGCAAATGGATACTTTGAGCTACTGCAGCTACATTCTACAAGTAAGCAAAACGAACAAACAAATTTCTAAAAAATACTCTATCACTCTTCCTAAAATGATGTAATCTAAAAAAGATAATTTTCATTATCCAATCATGACTTTACATAAAAAACTTTAAAGGGTAGAGTTGAGTACTCAATCAACAAATATTCAAAAAAGAACAAAGCATGATTCAAACTATCTCTGAAAAATATTAGTTTGAACCAAATAAAACTGCAGTTCTTACAGAAAAAAAGCAACTGAAGTCAGCAACGTCATGTGTCTTAACCTCATTAAGTTACTGGCCTCATCTCTCATTAAATTACTCTTCACTGGACATTTAAGAAGAACAAGTATTTCATAGTTCTTCCAGATTGTTAATTTCTAAGCGGTATTCTCTTTATACATTTAAGAAAGTATGTCCTCTTAAATGTTACAGGAAGAGGGAAAGACAAGACTCCCTTATGTAATAGTTCCTTCATTAAAAGCATGTTCTGTGAGAATATTTTCACTTCTCTTTACCTATTTCAAGTCTTCCATCTTCCTTCTCTGCCAAAACTATAGAGAGTAGGAGGGTAAAGAATGAAAAGCAATGCTTTGATTACCATACTTGGCTAAATTCTAAAGATATTAATACATGAAGAAGTGTTCCATAATATAATTCAGTATTCAAAAGCACTTCAAGCTTTCTGCTAATTGTTATTTCATCTTTCCCACTTGGTGTAAAATTCTAGGCAAGAACCACACTGGTTTTCCTTTGTAAACTTTAACTCATTCTAGGTTTTCATTTTTAATCCTATAGTAGCAAATAATTGTAAAATCCAACTGGGCAGCTTTTTCATAGAGCATGACAGATTCCAAGTAACACCCACAAAGGGGTTCGCAGGCTCTTAAATAGCAATTTTCTTCTATGACTGATATCTGAGGGGCGGTTTTCATGCCAAGGAGTATCCCTTCTTGTCACCAAGCTTAGGTATGTATATCTGACAACCAAGGAAATTTACTATTGTTTGAAATGTGCAAATCAGGCATGAAAAATATATATATACTGAAAGAGAATCAGATATAGATTCTATATCTATAATACACCACACTGTCCTTTGTTTTTACAATTATTCTTTTTTGGTTAATCTGGCTCTAAACTTAACATAGAACACCATCCTTTCATCAATTTTATTCAGAGAGCTTATAAATCATTTAGATTCTAGCTGTTTTTCATTACAGTCTAGTCCAAATAACATAAAACAGTTGTTTTAGGCTATAGCCAACAATTTAGAAGTAAATATATGATTATCCAAATTATTTGTATGCATGTATTTACTTATGTATATGTATATGTATATATTTCCATATATACATTTATATTTATAACACGTCACAAATGTAGATACACATATACACACATTCACACACGAGCGTGAACATAAGTCCACATAAGTGTGTGTATGTATGTGTGTATATATGTATATATACAAAATGCTCCCGACCTGACTATAGAAACGTATTCCTGATTTCACCATCCATACATGTATTTTTCTCAACTGGTTTACTGCCTTGGTTTTACATATTATCCACTGAAGGACTTCCATAAGCCATCTTATATGTCACAATCACTCTTTTGACATCACTTGACCATCAATAATCTCAAACTTCCTGTGATGCAGCTGCCTTCCAGCTACTGCTACTGGGACAAAAGAATGGTTCTCAGCCAAGTTTCCCCAGGCAAGTTTTCCCAGAGACAACTATAAAACTGGTACCGAGCTGATTTGGGAGTTCTAGCAATAATCACATTTGCACAGTGTAAGAGAGGCCAAAAGAGACATCATTTGATTACTTCCTCAGTGCTGGTACAGGACCAGTGGGAGGGGGTTCGTCTAGACCCTGGTCTAGTAACTACTTACCTCCCAGCAGGGAAATCTAAAGGTCCACCTGTGATGAAGCAACAGGAACCAGGGGAGGAGGCAGTATCCATACAAGGGAAGATACTTGGATTAATTTCCCTAAACCCAGGAGTGGTCTAAAGCCCCTCTTGCCAAAAATCCCCACTCCATGCCCCCTAACTCTAACCCTGCATTTGGACACAGCCAACAATAAAGTTTCCCTGATCCAATCACTGTACTCCCCTGTGCACGTAAAGAGACAAGGGTGGGTGCAATTTCTTTCTAGTACTTTGGACTAAACATGCAAGGGATCTATGGTTGGCAGACAGATGTAACATGTGTACACATATGTACTGTGCTGAATGGTGATCCCCAAAGATATCGGGTCCTAACCCCTGGAACCTGTAAACGTTACCTACTAATGGAAAAGCAATCCTTGCAGAAGGTATTAGGTTAAGAATCTATACATCAGAAGATTTACCTGAATTACCTTGGTGAGCTCTAAAATAAATGCAGTCATAAGAGTCCTTATCAGAGAGGCAGACTGAAATTTGATAGAGACGTCAGAGGAGATGGCAAAGAAGCGGGAATTGGAATGATGAGGTGAAAAACCAGGGAATGCTGTCAGCCACCAGAAACTGAGAGAGGCAAAGAATGCATTCCCGAGAACCTCCAGAGGGAGTGTGGACCTGAGGTCGTCTGGATTTCAGCCGAGGCACATTGATTTCTGACCTCTGGCCACCAAAACTGTGAAAAAACAATCTGTTGTTTGAAGACACCCCATATGTGGTCATTTGATGCAGAAGCCAGAGGAAATTAATGCAGCATATTTAATATTTTCTCCAGAACACTGACTGACTTAGTATATTCAAAACTGAATGCCTATAAAGGTATCATAAAAAAGACAAAGTAAGAAATAACAATAATAAAGTTCCATTTAATAATTGAGGTTCTGGGCATATATTTTTTACTTGTATAGAATTTCCCCTAATTCCGTGCTCAGAATGTCATACAAGTTGGGTTATTTTTGTTTGCATTTCATATTTTTCTCATTTTTACTTTTTAAATGAGCATTTTTTTATCTCAAAAACTAAAATAGATTGGACCATATTATAAAGTCTTATAATTACGATTCATATAAATCCTCCTTCATAGTGTATTTTTGGAGGTAAGGTTATACGTTTGCTTATAATCATGTACCTCCTTTCAAAAATATTAGCCCAGCTTCAAAAAAAAATTGTCCAAAGCATGTTCTCCCTCTAAGCTAACCCTGGACTTTAAATACATACATACATACATATATATATATAAATATAAATAAAAGGAAAGCTGAGCCCAAATGTAAGAACATTCTCTGAAAGGAAAATACCTGTTTCAATGACCACCTACTTTTTAGTTACTGACAAGAGAAGCATGTGCCTCACTGTACTCTTTCTAGCTCTGGATCCTGCAGTAACTGGAGCAGAGAAAAGCCAGGTGTCCCTTTTCCCTTTTCTCGTTCACTCTCCCACCTCTGGCAGTGGCTTCTGTGGGAGAGGACATTACTAATTATGAAAAAGCAAAAGTTCTAAGCACTCCCAACTGGATATGCCTAAATTCAAATACACATCTATATATATAAATTCTAATATATATAAATTTTGTAATAATTCTTATATACATCTATCTAAAAAGATGTATACCACATCTTTAGGGAGATAAATTCTGTGGCCGTATGAAATATTAATCAGAAAAAAACATACATGTTGTGGCATGAAAAAATTTACTGGCACTAAAAAAAAGCTAATCAAGCAGCTCCTAACACTGAGATATAATATTCTTTAAAATACCTGGTATCTGGAGCCACTTATTTTTTAATCAAGTTGTTACACATTAATAAAATTTCATATATTTTCTTTACTTCAGAAAAGTTTATATATCTTTTCAAATCTCCTTAAACAAACTTACTATTCTATGATACATATGAAAATGGTTTCAGAAATCCCAGTATTCCTCCTCCAGTGTTCATTCAGTCAGGATGAACTCTGTACTGTTTTACAGAATTCATAGAGAATTCTGAGAAAATATTCCCTAACTTTTTTTGAGACAGAGTCTCACACTGTCACCCGGGCTGGAGATGAATGGCGTGATCTTGGCTCACTGCAACCTCCGCCTCCCAGGTTCACACGATTCTCCTGCCCCAGCCTCACAGGTAGCTGGGACTACAGGAGCACACCACCACACCCAGCTAAGTTTTTGTATTTCAAGTAGAGACAAGGTTTCATTATGTTGGTCAGATTGGTCTCAAACTCCTGACCTCGTGATCCACCCGCCTTGGCCTTCCAAAGTGCTGGCATTACAGGCATGAGCCACCACACCCGGCCAACTTCTCCTTTTTTTTTTTTTTTTTTTTTTTTTTCTTGAGACAGAGTCTCACTCTGTCGTCCAGGCTGGAGTGCAGTGCCACGATCTTGGCTCACTGCAGCCTCCGCCTCCCGGGTTCAAGCAATTCTCCTGCCTCACCCTCCCAAGTAGCTGGGACTACAGGCACGCACCGCCACACCTGGCTAATTTTTGTATTTTTAGTAGAGACAGGGTTTCACCATGTTGGCCAGGATGGTCTCAATCTCTTGACTTCATGATCTGCCTGCCTCGGCCTCCCAAAGTGCTGGGATTACAGGTGTGAGCCACCGCACCTGGCCCAACGTCCCCTTTTTAATTGAACAGTGAATATAGAAAAGACAGTGCACATATGACATGATTACCACAGTACAGTATTTGGTTTTTAAATCCTTCCTTACATTTTTCTTTTTATATTGTACTCTAACACTTATCTTCAAATCCTCACAAAATACAAAATAAACCACATTAAGAGATTTTAAAATAAACTTCATGTTTTAGAAAGCTGCCATTGTGTTTTTAAGTAACATTTAAATGTTCATAAATATAACAAAATATAGCAAGATTCTCATGATTAATATTATAAATGACAATACTTATTTTTACTAGAATTATTTTTTAAATCTAGAACATGTGCCACACATCCCCAAGAATTTTAAAAGCAATATTACTACAAGATTATGAGACACTAAGGTAATTGTGATCCTTTAAAAATATACAACTAAAGATGTGTATGCATGTGTGTACACACATGTGCATATACACACGCATCTGTGGTCCTCTGCTGAAAATACATACCTAAACGTAAGGGTGTGTGTCTGCGTATGTATCCACACACATGCACTGCACACACACTCATGGTCCTTTGTTGAAAATACAGACCACAAGTTATATAAGAAGAAGTATAGCAGACACCTAAGGCACTGACCAACCACATGTTAATTTATCATCTTTACAGATAACAAACAATTATAATTACTTAATACATATGTACATATAAATGTGTAATTATGTATTGATTAGTTTAGCTTTTAGCAAAGCACAATGGTGTGTTACATTTCTCCAGAGTAAGATAGTATTTTCAAAAATTACACAGATAGACCATTAGCACTGAGTGAATTTATTTTCCCCAACAGTGCTAAAGATATGCAAAATTTTCATTCTTTAGAGTTGCATAGTAAATGATTAACACCAGCTCTGCTCATTATCTTGCTTAACAAAACTTCTCTAAAAACAAATAAATCAAAAATGCCTCCAACATTCTTGAATAAATAAATTATAGATGTATTCAGTGGCAGCAATGATATTTTAAAAAGCTTGTGCAAGCTCATCGTACAATTTTATTACAAAACTGCATTTGATAAAAGAAAAAACTGTCTACTTTTTCATTTCGACCTAGTTTTACTAGCAGGAATGGCTTTTAAAAGATGAAGAAACTTTATAATAGCAACTTATCTAGGAAGTGTTAACCCTGTGTTCCAAAAGATTACAGTCACTGCTAATTAGGAGCTGATACTTCTCATGAAGATACTTTTAGGAGCCTGGACTATTTTTCTCTCCTAATGAGAATAGAAGGATAATGACAGCTAATAGGACCCATCACTATATGAACGGAGACCATAAATGAGAACGTTTATTTAATGGGAAACATAATTCTTGACTTTAAAAATATGTATTTAGATCGGCTGCAGAAATTTATTCTCGTTTTTATTTCTACATAACCCCCACAACTTTTCCACCAAGCAAATGCCATGAAAACAACTGACAAAGGCATCCTGGGCAGGCATGTTTTTGGCAAAAACAGCCATCATAGAACAGTTGTATCTACATTTTATATGTTAAAAAAATCTCAGTACAGAAATAGTACTAATTAAGCAAAAATGTTAAGGGAAAAAATTAATGAAGTGATGAAACTGCATTATTTTAAAGTGAAAATCAATGCATTCTAGGACTCAATGAAGCCCACTAGGTAATAAGTCTAAAGCAAGCTAAAACCTAAAATTTAAGCTCCAATGAGTTAACCTGTATTTTATTTAAACAACCACTAAAAAACCATTTTCTTTTATTACTGACAAAAGTTATAATGCTAGAAGATCTAATGTAGAAAGCCCTTTATAATTATTCTAATCCTATCTTTAGAAATATCCTTCAAAATAATTCTACCTAAAATATTTTGCTATCTCAAAAAACCCACCCACAATATAATTGAGTGCAAAACACAGCAAGCTCTCCATTGCTGTAATCTAAAATATTTTTCTTGAAATTAAAAAAAAAGCATGTAAATTAAGGTGAGTGAAACACACTTTCATCTAGCAGAGTAATATGGTAGCTATTCATCACCCGAAGTCATAAAACACTAGGTCTCGTCCTTAGCATATTCTAATGAAGCCTATCATGCAAATGAGAGTGACCTTTTCCTTGCATTCTGCAAGTTCACATTTATTCCAGGAGTACATAGAGTTTGCCAATACAAACTAGCCAAAGACTGTGTAATTACTGTAATCAATTAGTAGTTAGTGTCGTTCTGCTCATTTTCAGCTAATGTCAACTAAGCCATTTTTGAGAGAAGCACCCTTGACAACAGCTTTTCTGTTATTGTTTTCAAAATGTGGGGCAAAGAGGAAATACGAAGATAAATATACTCAAACTTTCCAATATGGCCACAAGGTTGCATGCCTCCAAAGAATGTTAAGATTCAAGACAAGCCTCTAAAGTTGATCATGGACAAAGAGTCTCTGGTAAAGTTGCATATCCTTAAAATGACATTGAAGTTTTCTGCCTATACAATTAAACATTAATATTTAAATATTTAAATGAAGGACACTCTCCTGTGCAGCAGTTCAGACTTGGTACAACTTGGGCACTCTCCTCAACGGTTGAGTAAACAGGCCATACCCTCTGCTCAGAAACAGTCCATTGTGTAGACAGTTATGGATAGGAAACATTACGGCAGCCAGTAATTAAAGTAAGAACTAGTACTGTCTCAGAGATGGGGAATTTTATTAAGGAAAATCATGTATCATGGCTTACAGTTCTCCCAACTGAAATGAATTATCTCCTTTTGAGCACATATCCATTTTAAGCTAGTATATTTTACTCAACTAAAATGAGGACCACTTGCCAATCTTAACTGTATCAGCTACTAGGCGTGGAAAAACAACATAACAGGTCTTGGAAAATATTCTACAAATATCACACAGCATAAAACCTTAGCATTTAAAAGAAGGGCATCGAAAGCAAATGTCAATTGAAATTAAAGACTGGTGCATCACAAGAAAACCAGATGATTAAAACAACTATACAGTATTTTCCTTCAATACAATTGTTTTAAAAATATACAGACAGAACTAAAGAAAATACCTTTCCAGTTGCTAGCTGCTAAAGAAAAATTCTAATTTCATTTCAACCAATGTTCTTTCACTGTAACTAGTCAATATGTAAAGGACAATATATTCAATCCTCACTTCTAAAACTATTAAATATTTGGCAACTAAGAGGTAAGTAGCCCATAAACTTACAACAGAAAATAAAGAGATCATTCCTATGCTAGAAAGAAAATTTATGGTATCCTAGACATTATCCAAAATGTAAAATGATGATATTAAGGTAAGTAATCTCACTGAGATTCCTGCACTCGAAGAAACATCTCAACTAAATGTCAGCCTTGTTTGTACATGTCAACCTAGAACACCCGAAGTCACGTTTTCCTTGAATCTTTGATTCTCTCAAAAACACACACACACACACACACACACACACACACACACACAAATTGAAACTCAAAATGGTATAATTTTAAAAAATAGGCAGAAAACTACACTCATGTGCCAGGTGAGGACAGTCAGTTATTTCCTGGTACTGAAACTATCCTCCTTAAAGGCAATGGCATTACAGTCTCATTTTAAATTAAAAACACTTATAAAAGATTATGTACCTATAGAAGAGAAAACTATCATACTACAGATATTCTGTTTTTACTTTAAAATCTGTAATGACGCATCAGAATAACTTTCCAATACAAAGAATGATAAAAAACAAAACTGAAATACCTAAAACAACTAAGTTTTCACAGGTGTCCCAACAGTATTCGTGAGCCGATTGAGGTACAAGGTCTACCTTTTCAAGTGCTTACACAATTGTGCAATACTGGGCTGTGAGGTGATGGACAGGACCCTGGTTTCAAAGTGTTTGTATCCATGGTGATATTTAGAGTAAAAAGAGCAACCAAGTCTCAATGAGTGGCGTGACATTGAGGATTTACTGGTTTCCTTCTGCATACTGCTGGAACCAGTTGCCTCACGGAGCGTCGAACACGTACGACTTGTCAACACTGACACAGAGCCAAACAGCAGGAAGATCGTTCTTTTCACTCTTGTCAGAAGAATGAACCGATGTGGGCCTCTGACAGTTACCGAGAGGGGACAAGAGCAAACAAGATGAGCAAAAAGAGAAAAAAAATAACCAGTAAATTTGAAGGGCCTAAGGCTTCTCAGAAAAAAAAAGATGCCAGGGACTGAGCAACGAGCAGTTGCTTGACTTTTCTCAAAGAAAAGGCTAACATGAAATGCTTCACAAGAGATGATGCTCACAGAACACCACTGCTCAACTGCAGGATGATGTCTTTATGGTAAGCACTTAAGACAACTTGTGACCAAAGTCCTGTTACGACACTAATTGTCCATGAAAGCTGACCTGCAGCAAAGCAGCACAGTTCAGTTCCAATAGTCCAGGCTCACGAGGATTAACATGATTGTAGATGACAAAAGACATTCACATATCACAAAACACTGAAAATGCTAAGGATCACTGCTTAGTGCTTGCTAAAAAGAGACACTTTTCAGACTTTATACTTCTTGACTAGAAATCACAAGATTCTAGATATAATATCCTAGATTTTCTAGATTTTTTTTAGACTGCAACTTTTCTAAATCAAATGATAAGAAACAGATAAAATGGAATAGCAATAACATTTTTTAAAATTAGACATGGATTGTATAGTAGTACTTCAAAAAGAGGAAAAGAAAATTAGATGGGGTTACTTTTGAAAGAAGAAATCTTATAATAAAAAAATTTAAAAATAATATTGAGCTTCTGGTCATATATACTCCATGAATGATTTAATGTTGCTAAAGTGTTTCAATTTGTTAAGAGTGCTTAGTATAGAAAGAGGTTCAGGCACAGATTACATACTGTAATTTACAATTATTGCAGCATTTCAATTTTTCTATAAGCTAATGAAGTGCATAAAGCACCTTTTAATGCAGTAATTTAAAACATTAGCTAACTTTAAATTATCTTGCTTATTATATCTTGAAAAAAAAGCCAAAGAGACAAAAACTAGTATTTTAATTGATAACTTAACAGTTAAACACTTTTTACTTGAAGCTGAGAAATGTGTTGAATAAAACCATGTCTATGTGTAACTCCAATCAAAGAATATTAAATCTTATTTAACTTTTAGACTGCTTCAATGTTTAGACTGACTGAAATATAAAAGTATAGAAAATTAAATTGATTAAACATTGAACCTATTTTATTACTCATTAGATTTCAAAATTACACACTTTAAATATTGAATAGATTTCAAAATGTAACAATGTAAACACTCACATTTTAAAATAAAAATAAAAAGGACTCTGGAGAAAAGTGAACACTATGATAGGTAGAAAAACTATCTGACAGACTTAGTTATTTCGATTTTGGGGGGAAATAGGAGGTTATTATTCACAAGTACATTTTAAACAAAGTCAAAATGTTAGGTATCAATAAAAGAAAATTCTATGAGAATTACAAAGCTGATTACAAAACTGATTTTACTATCACTTCCTGGTTATCCACTGAAGGGCAATCTGAAGCAGGGCTTATCTAAGGTCAATACTGCTTTCTAGTTGGACAACTAGCATCCATGCCCTTCCTTTACTCACTTTTCTGGTGAGACAGGAAGAACTCTCATCTTGGCTTAGAGGAAGGTAGACATCTCCCATCAACAAAGAACACCTATTTTTCTTAAATATTAGCTTTTGTTGATACCCTCAAGACAGATGTTCATGTCCACTCTAAAATACCAGGAAACCTCTGAACCAAGTCCAAAGGCAGGAAGGGGCTTTCAGGAGTACTTGTAGTGAACCCTGGTCTTACAGAAAGCAGGAAAAACACAACAAAACAAACTAAGCTTGGGAAACACAAGACAGTCTACACCAGTAAGTTTCACGACAATAAGAATTTTTAAAAGTCTGACGTTCCCCATTCATTTTCCCAAGATGTACAGAAAATGGCTCCATTATTTAGATTTAACTGAAGTCCAAATAATAAATATCTACATTCAAATACAGCAAAAAATATAAGTCCCAAGTGAAACACTTAAAATGTTCTGATATAACTGAAAACCTACCTAGGTTACTTTGTATAAGCTATTTTGGTCTCTTTACCTCTCTGAGGCTTTAACTCTGTAAAATGAGACACTCCCATTAAGTGATCCTGATGATTTCTTTCTGTTCTAGGACCTAGCGCTTGTTCTTCATGATCTATACTACCACGGTGATCTCCAGATCACCAGTGTCAAAATGGCCTGGGTTTGTATGAAGGCACGTTTTTGGACCCCATCCCAGGCCTGCTAAATTATGGAGACAAGGAATGGACACTGTTTAAATCACTCACCTCCCCACCCCAGGGATCCTTCTGCATCCTGGACTTTGACACTCACTCCTCTATGACTCTGTTATCTCACACAAGTATATGAAATAATATATGACCATTTGGAATAAAGGCTGCCTAAACATTAGGGATAAAAAAGAACTTGAAAACTAATTAGCAGTGCTTACTACACTCATCTTCTCAAAATCCAAGATGTCAAAATTAAAGTTTTCTGACTTCATTACTCCTAATTAGTCATTGAAAATGTGTTTGCATTTCATTAAGTGGGTTTAACCTCAACAGGCTTAGAAATTTCACTCTAAGAAATGAGGATAGAATTGTTTTTGTTCACTTTTTAGAAGTAGGTGAACCATTTAGTTTGACTTTAGTGAAATATGATAAACTTGCCTAAAAAAATTCATGACTAGCCAACCCACAGGATTATCAGATCATAGAATCAGATGGGATGGAATTCGACTAGTACAATCCATGAGTGACTCGCCCGAAATGCATCTTACCAACGGTACCGTCTTTCTAAATTAAAGGAAGCTTATGATTGTAGATTAGCCCATTCCCTTTTGGACAAATTATTATACAGTTCCACTTACACTGACTCAAAATCTGTAAATTCCATTATTTTTACATAAATTGCTAAATCAATGCCAAAAACACAGGAGAGCCTACAGAGTTTCAAGAAAAATCAAGATAAAAAATATTCTTCTCTCCTTCTAAAGAGGTAGTAAAATAACAGAATAAGAGATGGAATATCTCATAATTAAGATTTAAGTGTAAGTCTGAACAGTCAGTGAATACCTTTTAATAAAGTTATTTTTCAATTTAAAGATATTAATGTACAAGTTATTCAGAAAAACAAACCTAAAATATTGTTCAACATCAAAAATTCTTAAGGGGGATGATTGGACTTTTATATCCTCCTTATGCTTTTACTTCATGACCAGCTGAACAAAATGCTCATTTAAACCTTCCCTTTTGTAGTTTCTACATTGGAAAAGCTTTTTATATAATACATCATTCTTTCTATAATCCTATAGCCACTTTGGAAAATAGTGAGAAAATGAATACATTTATAGACTAACAATAATTTTAGCCAAAGGTCAAGGTTGCCAAGGGTCTTCGAAGAATTGTACAGGGTGATGGTTAAACCCATTAAGTGTAATCAATGTTGAACAAGATACCCTTAAAGGGCAACACCAAGAAATAGTTACCAGTGACAGCAAAAGGAAAAGTAGCAGCGACCTGAACCATAAATGAAGAGAATGAAGATTTACAGAGACACAAGCATTTGTGACGGGCAGTAGCTACTTCGGGTAATGACAGGACACAAGGCAGCAATTGCTTCTTTTCTCCAGTCAGGAGGAAAAGTGAAACATCCAAGTATCAACAGGAAGGGGTTAAATGACCTGTCATCGTGCTAATTTTTTAAAGAGGATGGCCATTCCTTGCATTTTAATCTTGACTGATAATGTAACAGAATCTATGTTTTAAAAATCATTCAAGCTAGAGAAGCCATTACAGGGAGAATATTAAAAAGTGTACCTGAGAAACCTTAATTAGAATATTAAAAACTACAAGTAACCTGTAGAGCTTCCCAGACACTGAAAATTCCAAACCAATTTCCATGCACAATTTCCTTCCACAGCATTGAAGAGCAGGTACCATGATCATGAACATGATCTCATTGGTGCTGTCCCACAGGACCAAGAATAGCGCCTGGCACATGGCCTTCCACAGGCGTTTGTTGAATGAATACTGAGTCATTACACAACAAACGTGCTTTTCCAACGCTATTGGACGAGATTACAATTAACTATCTAAAAAGTGTCACCTTTTAAGAAGCTGTTCAATACTTCAAGTTATTGACTATATAATGCATCACTGCCAAATTCTATGATCAAATTACCTCTGTCTATATTGCCGGCCAAAACTGTCACAAGATAATAGTCTTTTTTTTCCAATTTTATTATTCTTGCAACTGTTTCTGAAAATAATATGAAAAATATTTTTCCATTCCCCTTATATTTATACTGAATAAAGGCAAATACTCCAGACCTAAATTAATTAAATTCAGAAGGATTACCAGCCAAGTGTACGGTCCCTGTGTATGTTGCTTTTGTATGCCAGTGATATTTTATTAACACATTTTATGAATGAACTTACTTATACCTATGTTCTACCCTACAGAACACAGCATATTTTATATATGCTGAGCGCTCCTCACAAATACTTAACAAATTCACAGTAAACGAATGAGGGAACCAACGAACATGCAAGACAAAAAAAAACACACACACACACAAACCACACTTGACCTTTCTTCTCTGGAGCATCTAGCAC
The DNA here is from genome assembly GCF_000001405.40 of Homo sapiens. Taxonomy (NCBI): domain Eukaryota; kingdom Metazoa; phylum Chordata; class Mammalia; order Primates; family Hominidae; genus Homo; species Homo sapiens. The sequence continues at coordinate 74,729,453 of NC_000018.10, read as the reverse complement.
ATGAGAATCCATACTATGTAAACCATTCCTCTAGTGGAGAAAAGGCTTATTAAAAAATCAATGGACAAGAAAAATAACAGAAATCAAGCTAACTACAAGAGTGACTAAGAAGAAGTTGCCTAGGTAACTTCTCATCTTTCACAGGCAATTCTCCTCCTTTGCTGAAAGCTAGCACTTCCCCCAAGGACAAAGTAGATGTTCAATAAACAGTAACCAGTAATAAGTATATTGTTCTCTTCCACGGACCATCACTCCATAATAGTACTACCTGCCCCTCATTTTAGTAGAAGCAACAAATTATGTCTAAAGTACGCACTGGGTACTGACCATAAAAATAAGATACTGAAAGGTACAGTAATGAACCAGTAATTTGGAGTAGATTCTATAGTCAGATACAAACCTGTCCTGGCACCAAAACTGGAAAACACTGGTTATGCTCCTGTCTTCTAAGCATCACAGAGAGAAAAAAAGTCACAGCAGCTGCTGACATAACAGTGACTAAAAGTGGAAAGGAGCCCCTTCTTTTTTAAAAACAACCGTACCACTCAATACTGCTGGCTAGTGTTTAGTCTCTAAAATTCCCCAGGCACTTAAGTGGTTCTCTTTCAACTTCAAGCCTTTCCTGTTTTCACCTCTGTGCCCTCCTTGTGATGAGCCTCCCCAGCACTGCCCATGGCTTCTCCTTTCCACACAGCACGCTCTCCACTGGTAACTGCATTCACTGCCAAGCCTTCCGCCACCATCTAAGAGAGTCAGAAGCACACAGGCCTTTCAGGTCGCACCTTCCTCACAAGCCTCAGGCACTTACCTGGCTGCTTCCTGTACATCTCTCCCTCGGTGGAGGTAGGTGGCCCACCAACACCTCAATCTGTTGATTGAACACACTGGCAATCAACACTAGAAGGAATCTCAGCAGGCACATCATAATCTTTAAGGTGAAAAAGCTAGGTAAAAAGCAGGTAAAGCTAGTTACTGCCAGGGCTAACCCCAGAGCCTGTGTTTCAAACAAACTCTTCCTTGTGTCATGCTGCCAGCACACATCCTTCATTCTGGGCTATCTGGGCTATGGTCCATCTCACAGAAAGTGACTATTCATTCATCAAATAGCCCAAACCTAACACCCTCATCTCTCTCCCTACTACTAACTTCTGAAACAGTCTCTGAATTATTCACTTTGAACTCTGAGATTGTCTTGAATTTGTTTATCTGTGACTTCGTATATCAAATTCATTGTCAAATTCGGCAGTTTCTTCTGATGTTTCTCAAGGTCATATTCTCTTTCCATCCCCATTGCTATACTCTTATCCAAGCCCTCTTATGGCCAAATCCTGCAGTTTTTTCTAATGTATATTAGAAGAATATATAGCCTTTCTCAAACCCAAAACAACAACAACAACTATGAATAACCACATCTGCCCCAAGGGTCCTGGATGAGGAAGGCTGCGGTAGGAGAGGGCGCTCCTCCATCACTCTCCTTCTCCCCAGCACACTGAAGCAAAAAGCTCATCACTGGCATCTCCACCTGTTGTCTTCTTGTCCGAATCCAGCCTAGATACCACAGGTATTTAAAGTATCTTCTTAAAAGAGACTTGTCTGAGCCACTCTACTCCTCTGTGCAAAACGCTCAATGATTTCATCTTCAAATGCATTTTGTGCTTGCCATCAGACGGCACTTTCAATAACCCCATCACCTGCAGGATGAATCCTAAACTCCTTACCTGCCGCGCATGGCGACTTGCTATCTGCATATACCTTTGCTCTCATCTCCCTCCTAACATATATTCGGGGAAGGTTCATAATCCCTTATTCACAATTCTGAAAGTTGAAAAGTAACGAAAATGCAAAGTTTAATCAGTTGGTGGCAAAACACTAACATAAAGCTACTCGGAGACTTCATTCGAGCCCCTGTGTTGAACACGCACCTGTGCTGCCAGAGAAACAGCAATGTACTGCATTACAGGCTGTGTCCCGGAGACCACCTACTGTTATCTAATACTCAACGCAAACGATATATAATCTTCACAAAACCCAAAAAACAAATAACCAGCAGAACCTGGATGAGGGACCTGGATGAGTGAGAGATGCTGTGGTGGAAGAGGGCTCAACTCTCTTCACTCTCTTCCTACTCCTTCACTCTCTTCCTTCACTCTCTTCCTACTCCTTCACTCTCTTCCTTCACTCTCTTCCTACTGTCCTCTTCACCACCGTTCTACAGGAGAACTTGACCTCGGTTCACACATCCTGTCTAAAAACTCTCACTGAATCCTTCACCGTTTTCATGATGATCTAAATGTTGTTTTTCTATGTTCTATCAAGAAAATCAAAAACCACACTTTACTTATCTTAGTACCCAGCTAAGTGCTTGGCACATAATAGAAACCCAACATTTGTAGAGCTGAACTGAGTAAATTAATCTTAATTGTTGATGAATGATTTATTAAATGATTCTGGTTTCCTATTAAGACATGGAAAAAATGCAAAAAAGCCCTATACTTGTCCACAGATTGACTATCTTAGAAAATGTCTAAAGATCTTCTCACCTCCAATAAGATGCACCGAAATACTGCACATGCCCAAGACTCTGTGACACCCCCACAACTGACACTGCCCCCAAAGCACTGCACTCAGTACTGAGCATAATGAATCCAGGATCTTTAGATTTCTGCAGAATTGAAACTTAAATATCTCCCTATGGAGATGAAAACTAATGTGTACTAATTTAGTAACCTATGATTCATAATTCAATGTCTAGCTGAATTAGGATTGCTTAGTGGGCCATGCTTTAACTCCACATGTAGGTTACACCATAATTGACAATATCCTGACAAGATAGGATAAAAACAATCATTGGTAGCAAAACAAGGCATGTTAATGAAATTCCTTCATGTGTAAATTGAGGTTAATACATATATACATATTCCAAAATTTTTCCCAATACATTGCTGTTTCATATTTCTATGTAAATTGGTTTATGCATCTTAATATTTTGTTCTGTTTTACAGTTTTATTATCAAAAGTAAAGTTATTCCTTCCATGCATAGTATATTAGGCATAACTTATTGGCTCTCATGATTCAGACATGATGGTCAGTCCTATACAGTTCTCTACATAGTAAATATATGTGAGGGATTAACTGGAAGCACACATCTAATAAGATGATTCATCATGGGGTCTTGTAATTAAACTAGACTCTCAGCCATAATTATCCAATGCAGAAAGCATAGAGGCAGTCTACATACATCTAAGAGCTTGAGATGCAACGAATCTTCAGTGGGAGCTGAGTGGAAGGGGACAGCTGAATAAAAGAGGGAAAAAAAAGAGATTGCAACTCATGTCACTGAACTAGAAAGTGGCTCTAAAAATACACTATATGTAGTATATTACCATTATTTAACCATCGCCCCCTACAATAGCTGGGCACAATGTGTCTACAGAAATATCACAGAAGTAAAATCTCCCTGCCATTCTCCCTAACTCTCAAGGCAATATCAAAAACATTACACAGTCATAATAGAATCCAAGCAAAAATCAACATCCAATAAGGATGTCGATAGGCCAATCCACAAAAAGAAGTTGCATAATAGAGAAAGCATCAGTTTTGTGTGACTATCGTGTTTTAACCAAACATTAACAAGTATTGCTTAATATATTATAAATATCTTTCAGATACATAACATCACCTGCTCAAATGTCAAGCTACACATGAAAACATAAAAATGAAAAGAAAGCAATTTTTCATATTGTATTATAGTTTAAAAAATGACCTAAGCCATATGAAAAAACTCTAAGAGACTGAAATTAAGGTTCAATCCAAGTTCAACTGTTAACAAAATAAATAAATAAATAAAAATAGACTCTATTGGTTACTTTCCACCAGTTTTTACAAACTTTGGATTGCAAGGCAGATGACAAGATGTAACACACATGAAGATACTCAATGAGATAAACAAAAAAAGTGATATACTAAAGAAACTACTTTTATAATTGCATGAAAATAGATTCTGTCTCGTCTCCCATAAAAATAGTTTTTAATTTTTTTTAATTTTGTGAATCTATATAAAATAGTTTTAAAAGCTGATTTTTAAAAACAATCAGGCAAGCCTGGGCAACACAGCAGACCCATCTCTCTAGAAACTGTTTTTATGTTTAATTGTCTAGGTGTGGCGGTGTGTGCCTGTGGTCCTAGCTACTCAGGGAGTCTGAGCTGAGAGGCTCACTGGAGCCTAGGAGGTCAAGGTAGCAGTGAGCCATGACTGCACCACAGCACTCCAGCCTGGGCGAAGGAGTGAAACTCTGTCTCAAAAGAAAAAAAAGGCATACTTAATAGGTACAGAACACAAACAGCTCATTTGAAAATGAAGAGATGTAAAAATTTACCCAAAAAACTGTAGGAACATGCGTGACATAAACAGTTAATCAAAAACAGATTGTGAGAGTTCCCACACATCGAATGAGAAAAAGCCAAAAAATCTAAAGTTAAAGCTTGAAAGGTTGAAGCCTCACAGATGTTAAATTGATCAAATTTTCTGAGAAGCATTTTAATTGTGTGTAATAACAACTTTAAACATTACTATTAACTTTGAAACCCAATATTCTACTTCTAGGAATCTATCCTGATGAAATAACATGAAAAGAGCACAAAAATATATGCAAAGATGTCCTCCACTGGTCATATATAAAGGCAAAAAACTGTGAACAACCAACATGGAAAGCATTAAGAAATGGTCATAAACTGTCATCTCCATACAGATGGAATGTTACACTGCCATAAAACTATCTACCAAGAATATTGAATGGCATAGGAAAGCACTTCCCACATAATGTAGTGCAAAAGCAGATTTTAAATCTATATATATTTTTCACATATATATTTCACGTGTGTGTGCATGAGAGAGAGAGAGAGAGAAATCTTAAAAAAAAGTTGATCTCATGGAAGTAGAGAGCAGAAAAGTGGTAACCAGCAGCTGGGGAGGACATGAAGAGATGGGAAGAGACTGGCCAATGGGTACAAAGCAGCTAGGAGGGATACATTCTGGTGTTCTATTGCACAAGAGAATGACTATAGTTAATAATAGTGTATTTCAAAATACCTAGAAAAGAAGATTCTGAATGTTGTCACCACAAAGAAATGATAAATATTTCAAGTAGGGATTTACTGATTACCCTGCTTTGAACATTTCACCATGTACACATGTATTTAAACATCAAACTATATCCCCAAATATGTACAATTATTACATCAATTAAAAATAAATTTGAACAAAAAATAAAATAAAATTTTATGTACAATACATTCAGTTGTCTAATACCAAAAGAATTATATAAAAATTTTTAAAGTAGATTAAGTGATTTTTTTCATATTCATTGCAATTTATTAGCTTCTCCCAGTTTCTCACAATAAACATATAATGCCTTGGGAATAATAGTGAGAACTATTTTTAATAAATATACTAGAGACTTTCCATTTCTGGTACGAAGTAATGAGATTCTGCCAAACAAACCCCCCCCACCCCGCCCCACACCAGAAGAGCTAAAAAGTCTGGACCAAATTTTTTTTTAAATAACTGTATGAAGGTCCTGGAAATTAAACAAAAGCTGGAGGTTGGGAGTAGAACCAAACCATGAAGCAAACCATGATGCAAATATATCCAAACCCTCCTCACTTTTATTTGATGGCTTTATCCTGAAGATGTCCAAAGTTGGAACTGTCTGAGAGAAGGCATCAGGAAAGAAGCCTTTCACAACAGAAAAACCAGCTGCACTCCTGGATCAGAGGGTAACTGCTCCAACACAACAGACATGGGAGAATAAGAAGTAAAAGAGAGCCATAAAGGAGAGCCAAAGGAGCCCTGATTCTGGGAATAAACTCAGAACACCTAAAGCATGTAGGAACAAGGAAGAGAGAAGGCAGATGGCAATTAAAGCTTAACTATCAGAAATGAGATACAAGCAGCTGACTTCTACAGACATGACAGTTGCTATTTGATGCTAATCAAGTTAACTGTCTGCTAAAATGAAAACATACCCAGTCTTTGAAACAATATACCATAATCCAGAGTCCGTACAACATAAAATTCATAATGCTCAAGATGCAATACAAATGTATTCTACATAGCAAGAGCCAGAAAAATGTGACCAAATCCCAAAGGGAAAAAGGAGCAATGAAAATGACACAATGCTGGCATTATTTTAAAAGGACTTCAGAGCCACTATTATGCTATAATCATAGCTAATGAAGTTAAGGAAATATGCTTAAAAGAAAATCTCAACAAATAAGAAAAAAAGTATATTTGTAAAAGTCCAATGAGAATTTTAGAAACAAAAATAAAATAACCAAGTTTTACAAGGGCTTTAATACTTAAATGAATATGACAAAGTAAAGAATCAATAAATTTGAAGACATCAATAAAAATCATCCAATATGAAGAACAGACGGAGAAAAATGGACTAAAAAAGGTAAAGAGAAGCTCGGGTACCTAAGAAATAATTACAAGAGGTCTAACACATAGTCAACTAATTAAAGAGTTCAAGTAGAAAAACAGAAAAGGGGAAAGAAAAATGTGACAAAAGAAACTTTGGGAGAGGTAATGGCTCACTGAGAAACGTGCAGGTTTGGCCACAAAAAGAGGTCAACAGATCTCAAAAATAAGTATAAAACTGCATAAAATTGTCAACAGCAACAATTTCAACATTCTGAAAATCAAATGAAAGCAACAAATTGAAAAGCACTTTATCTTGAAAAACTACTAGAGTTTTGGGTAAGAGAGCTGGTGGGAGGGGTGCCTGCCTGGGATGTTACAGTTCCCTCCACCAACTCCTCAACTTGGAGAGGCAGAATGGTAATTTTACTGACACAAGACTGAAACAAAAAACTGGAGCTCTGTGCCAAGGTGAGGAAGGGAGGAAGAAATCTGGGGTGAGGGCAAAACCCCACATCCTTGTCAGCTAAAAGTAACAAAGTTGACAGAAAGCCAATGAGGAAATCCTGACACACAGCCAACCCCAGAAGTGTGAGCCATGCTTGAGCAACTGACAGGCTAGCAAGAAATGTGGCAAGGAGATTCTATAAATGAAAAACCAGTAAGACAACTAGAGAGGATCTCCACGCAAAAATTATTTTAAAAACTTTTTTTAAAAAGGTGAAACAGAAGGAGAAAATTTTAAGAATGAGCCGGAGAGACCTATGGAAAAATCTAAAGCATTCCAATAAAAGTACAGTAAGGATCCTACGAGAAATACGGAAAGCAGTAGAGAAAAAAAATTAATGGCTGAAAGTTCCTCAAATTTGATGAAACACAGTAATCTACAGATAAAAGTTCAACATCAAGAAACATAAACACTAAGAAATCTTCACCCAAAACATCATAATCAAGCTGCTGAAAAAAAAAACAGACAAAGACAGTGAGAAAATCCTACAAGCAACAAAAAAGTTTCATCACATACAAGAACAGCTAACTTCATACCATATAAAGAAAAAATACAATTAAGAGCTGATTTATGACAAACAATGGAAGGTAGAAGTCAGAAGAATAACACGGTCAAAGTATCAATCAAGAACTCTCCATCCAGCAAAACTATATTTAAATAATAAAGGGGAAGTAAAGACATACCCAAATAAAGAAGGTGGAGAAAATTCATATTAACACAAAATAGGCAGTAAAAGAAGAACAAATGCAAAACACATAAGGTAAAGAGTACAACAGAAACTATAAATCAAACCAGTGGTATTACATTAAATGGTAATAAACACTAAGTGAAAAAGAAGAGATTCTCAGACTGCATCAAAAGACCAAAGTATGTGCTAGCTACAAGAGACTCACTTTACATTTAGAGACAAATATTTTGAAAATAAAAAAAAATTTTTCACAGAAACACTATAGATTTTGGTATGCTGACTGCGTATCCTGCAACTTTACTGAATTCACTTATACATTCTACAAGATTTTTTGGCAGGGTCTTTAGGTTTTTCTAAATATAACATGATGTCACCTGCAAACAGGGACAATGTGACTTCCTTCCTTTTCAATTTGGACGCCACTTATTTCTCTCTTGCCTAGTTGCCTGCCTAGGACTTCCACTACTATTTTGAATATGGGAGGTAAGAGTGGGCATCGTTGTCTTGTTCCAGAAGTATGTCTACACACAAACAGTGAAGTAGCTGAAAAAGAAATCAAGAAAGTGGTCCCGTTTACAACAGCTACAAAATAAAATAAAATAAAATGCCTAGGAATAAATTTAACCAAGGAGGTGAAAGACCTCTACAAGGAAAACTGCAAATCAGTGATGAAAGAAAGGGAAGAGGATACAAACAAATGGAAAGACATCTCCTGTTCATAAATCATAAGAATATTGTTTAAATGACAATACTACCCAAAGCAAATGTACAGATTTAATGCAATCCCTATCAAAATACCAACGACATTCTTCACCCAAATAGAAAAAAAAACTCTGAAAATGTTAATGAAACCACAAAAGACCCTGAATAGTCAAAGCAATCCTGAGAAAAAGAAAAAGAAAAAAAAAAAAGCTGAAGGTATCGCACTACCAGACTTCAAAATATACTACAAATCTGTACTAACAAAACAGCATGGTACTAGCATAAAAACAGACACACAGACCAATGGAACAGAATAGAGAACCCAAAAATTAATCCACATATGTACAGAGTTGATTTTTTTGACAAAGACTTCAAGAACACTCATTGACGATGCTGGCAAAACTGCATATCTGATATTCATTTGCAGAAGAATGAAACTAGACCCCCACCTCTAACCCTACACAAAAATCAACTCAAAATGGATCAAGCACCTAAATGTAAAACCCAAAATCATGAAAGTAACAGAAGAAAACATAGGAGAACTGCTTCAGGACATTGGTCTGAGAAAATATTATATGAGTAAGACCTGAAAAGCACAGGCAACAAAAGCAAAAATAAATAGGATGGTATCAAACTAAAAAGGTTCTGCACAGCAAAAGAAAAAAAACAACAGAGTGAAAAGACAACCTACAGAATGGGAGAAAATACCTGTAAACTACTTATCCAACGAGGGATTAATCACCACTTATAGAAAGAATTCAAACATCTCAATAGCAAAAAAAAAAAAAATCCTATTTAAAAATGGGCAGATGATCTGAACAGACATTTTAATGAATGGCCACCAAATATAAGAAAAACTGTTCAACATCACTAATCATCAGGGAAATGCAAATCAAAACCACACCGAGGTCTCATCTCACCTCAGTTGAATGACAATTCTCAAAAAGACAAAAAAAAAAATAGCAAATGCTGGCAAGGATGTGGAGAAAAGGAAACTATTTCTTATACACCGTTGGTGGAAACATAAACTAATACAACCACTATGGAATACAATAAGGAACTTCTTCTTCTTCAAAAAAAAAATACAAATAGATCAACCATGCGATGCAGCAATCCCACTGCTGGACATTCATCCAAAGGAAAGGAAATTAGCATTTAACAAAGAGACATCAGCACCGCCATGTTTACTGGACCACTATTCACAATAGCCAAGACATAAAGGTGCCCAACAACAGATGAATGGATAAAGAAAATGTGGTGAATATACGCAATGGAGTATTACTCAGCCATAAAAACATGAAATCCTGCTATTCTCAGCAACATAGATGGAACAGGAAGAACTTAAGTTAAGTGAAATAAGCCAGAAACAGAAAGTTAAATTCTCACTCATATGTGGACGCTAAAAAAAGATGATCGCATAGAAGTAAAAAGTAGGGCTGAGTGCAGTGGCTCACGCCCGTAATCCCAGCACTTTGGGAGGCTGAGGCGGGAGGATCACGAGGTCAGGAGATCGAGATCATCCTGGCTAACACGGTGAAACCCCGTCTCTACTAAAAAATACAAAAAAAAATTAGCCGGGCGTGGTGGCGGGTGCCTGTGGTCCCAGGTACTCGGGAGACTGAGGCAGGAGAATGGCGTGAACCCGGGAGGCGGAGCTTGCAGTGAGCTGAGATCGCGCCACTGCCCTCCAGCCTGGGCGACAGAGCAAGACTCCGTCTCTAAATAAATAAGTAAGTAAGTAAGTAAGTAAGCAAGCAAGTAAAAAGTAGAACAGAGGATACTAGCGGGTAGGAAGCGTAGGAGGAAGGGAGGAATAGGGAGAGATGTGTTAAAGGATACAAAATTACAGCCAGACAGGAGGAACTCTTTCTAGTGTTCTACACCACTGTATGAATTAAAGATAACAATAATGTATTATACACTTTCAAACAGCTAGGAGGAGGATATTGAATGTTCCCAATACAAATGATAAATGTCTGAGATGATGGACATGCTAATTAACCTGATCTGATCACTATACATTTTATGTTTCCAAGCATCATTAATGTCCCCTAAGAATATGTACAATTAATATGTCAATTTAAAAAATACAATAAAGGCAACAAGTCATATCCTATAAAAAGTTTTTAATTAAAAAATACTCAAAAAGACATTCTATGCAATCAGTAACCACAAGAAGACTAGAGAAGATATATTAATGACAGACAAAATAGATTTTAAGAAAAGCATATTATTAAAAATAAAATGGAACAGCAAATTAAAGGCATAAAGATAAGATACAGATAAAGTTATTTCCTTTCATAGGAGATACGAAATTACTTAACGAAGAAAATTCTTAAGAGTCTTAAAAAGCTACTAGAATAAGTAGATTTAGAAAAGTCATAGGATACAAGGTGAATACACAAAAATCAATTACATTGAAAATATTACTAGTCAACAATTCCATTTACAATAATGCAAAAATAAATTTAACAAAGCTGAGTACAGTGGCACACAGCTAGAGTCCCAGCTATTTGGGAGGCTGAGCCAAGGAGATCACTTGAGCACAGGAAGTCAAGGCCAACCTCGGCAACACATCCACACAAAGACCCCTTCCCTTTACCCCACATTCTTGAGACAAGGTGTCACTCTGTCACCCAGGCTGGAATGCAATATCATGATCACAGCTCACTGCAACCTTGAACTCCTGGGCTCAAGTGATCCTTCCACCTCAGCCTCCCAAGTAGCTGGGACTATAGGCACGCACCAGCACAACTAGCTATTTTTTTTTCCTTTTTGTAAAGGAAAAAAAGGGTCTCACTCTGTTGCTCAGGCTGGTCACAAAAAGACTCTTATACACAAGTGCACACCACATGATTTTAGCAAATAAGTTAACAGTGACGAAAAGTAATCTCTGGTTCCTTCTGGCAGCCAGGAAGGGGAGGGGGGGGGCTGCAAAAAAGCACAGGAATCTTTTGAGGAAACAGGAACGTTCTTTTATCTGTATTCGTCAATGGTTTCAGAGGTGTATAGAATTGTCAGAACCCATCAAAATGTATACTTTAAAAGGATGCTGTTTATGGCATATAAATTGTTCTGCAATAAATTCACCGAGTTAAAAAAAATTGAATGAATGAACAAGGGTTTAAAAATAAATTAGCTTTATCCACCAGTCTAAAATTAAAATAAAATTTAACAGATGAGAAAAAATTTGCAAATACAGGTTAGTATCCCTAATCTGAAAATCCAAAAACCAAACCACTCTAAAATCTGAAATTTTTTTATCACAGATATGACACTCAAAGGAAACGCTCATTGGAGCATTCCAAATTTCAGATGTTTGGATTAGCGATGCTGAACCAGTAAGTATATTATATAATGCCAGTATTTCAAAATCTGAAAAAATCCAAAATCCAAAACACATCTGGTCCAAAGCATTTTGTAGAAGGGACATTCAACTTATATAAGCAAGTTACATTTTTTTTAAAGTTTCTAGTTTGGGTGGTGTTTTGTTTGTTTGTTTTAAGCCTTAAATTTGCTTCAAACATAAGCGAATAAAATCTTAACAGGTTTACTATAAACAATGATCACACAAATTGTTTACCTATGGCTATCGAAAGAAACTGATCTCATATCTCACAGATTGTTTTTAGATCTGTATACATAATTCAGTTTTATTACTGAAGGCAGCAACAGTTATCATGTGAGAAATAAGTGAATTTTATAGTTTGATTCATTTTGAATATATCATGTCTCTGCACTCTCCACAGAATCACAGGATGTAAAGCTATTACAGTATTTGCAGAGAAAAAAAGGTGCCACTATCGGACTCAGGAGTACAATCTTGACTTATGATCTTTCTGTCCAAACCAATGCTGAGCAAAACAGCCTCCTCCTTAACAGGACTTGTCACAAATAATTAATTGCACAGTATGAAACAGAATAACTTGACTTTTATTGTCATTTTTACACATAATTTTTACATTTCTAAAATTACATCAGAAATGGCTAGGTCAGAATCACCTGGGCCAATCTGAAAATGCTAAAAGATACACATGCGTACACATACATACACATATACACACTCTCATATACGTATATATATTTTTTGTTTTTAAAAGATGAGAATACTAATAACAACACATACTATACCACACTCTCTCTGTATATAAACACATTACACATGGTACACATATTTGCGATTACAGTTTCTCTATGAATGTTCGAGTTGGAACGTGTATAAGGCCATTTAACAGAAAGCATTAAGTAGGCAGTAACAATCACAACAATGAAGACAGTAATGCTCATTTTAAAATGCGATCTATTTCAACATACTTGAAATTAACATATCAACATAAGTAGGCTGAACTACAAACAAACATTACCGATACATTGCTTTCTTTATGTCATAAATTAGAGGTAATTTATTGTTGATTATTTCGAACCACTTCTCATATTTTATTAATTTTTACCATAGTATATTTTAACTTCAGAAATTTGTGTTGTTTACTTCACCAAGCAGGTTTTCAGTTTCATAAGGGTAGGGTCCAAAAGTTATTTTTACTGTTATTTTAAGTTTTACATGTAAAACTCCACGGATAAGTTAAATATTGACTGCTGAGGCTGTCCTAGAGTTGCCTTACTGCTAGATAAACAGAGCAATTAGTTCACAGGGTGTCACTGACTCCTAACCTCAGCATTTGTGAACCCGCCTCCATTAATAAATAAAACTGATGTACCTTAATGTATTCAAAGTCAATCACACACACACAAAATGTCTGCTGTGATACTAGAAATAAGAGGAATATAAGAACAAATGAATAAAATAAGCCTTGTGTACTGTTAAAACATAAACCACCTAAAAACATTCCCACAATAAGGCAAAACAGGTCACATCATGTCATGAGAGCAACTGAAACAATATGAACTGAGAGAAACATTAACTTCTCAGCTATCAAAACCTCACGAATGTAGCAGCATCACCTCTCAAGATACAACTAAAAATTAAAAACCTGCCAAAAGGGCTTGGAGCAGCAAAATATCTATTTGAAAAAACTATGTTTGCACTTCAGTACTCTGAATAAGGGAGAGTCTCTAAGTTCCCTACTCTACTCAAACCCAGCACCCTTTCCTGATCTATACTGCTAAAGCTGGTTCACTGGCTTCTTACGGATGGGAAATAATGGACAGCAATTGCATGACTACAGACAAGATCAACAATAGTGTAAAATGGGAAAAGAGACAAGAAACAAGAGGCAGACAGGATTACGAAAATGTAAAGTAATCAGGGAGCAAGCAGGTATTTGAAAACAGCCTTCTCCAGGTCAAAATATGCTAAGAACATTGATTTTTTTAGAGCTTGGCATGATAACATATACAAAATGATAATCCTGAGTCATCAAGAAAATTTCAAATCATCTTGTATGGAAGTTCCAAAAACAGAAAACTACAAAGTTAATTTGTCAAAGATTCTCATGTGAAATAATTAATTTTTTTTAAAAAATGTTGTATGGGTAACCCTCGAGCATGTAGTTCAATTCAACAAACCATCTATTCAGTAACTGCTGGGACAGGAGGCCCTCTGGAACACTCTGTGGCTGTCCTCCAGTGAGTGCCAGCTCCCCAAGCATCCACACTGAAAATCCTGTGATGGGATGAGCTGCTCTGCCAAGGCATCTCCAGTCACCAGCGCCTCCACCACCGCTCGCACTGCATCACATTTCCACTGGCTGCATGACTTTCTTGAGCAAAAGAAATATACCTTTCGCCACAATATGCCAGAGTCTGGCACAATACCCAGCGTAGAGTCACATTTCAGTAAATATGTGAACTGATTTCTTTAAATACGCACATTTGGATAGTAACAATAATAGATCCACAAAATACGACATGGAAGCACAAGTTACCGTGGACTGCTGAGAGATCAGAAAGTCTTCAGAGAACAGGCAGTGTGAACCACATTTCAAGTTCAGAGTGGATTTACCCAAATCATTAGGAAGTATTCCAGGAAAAGGGGATACTGTAAGTACAAGTAAAAAGAAAGTAAGGCAGCGGGACGTGGAAGATGACTGGTAAAGGTAACTGGTTCACGTGTAGGTTTTGTAAGGAAAAGCACTGTAGACAGTCCAGGCAGACAGGCAGGGCTACCCAGGGAGCAGAGACAATGGAGCAGTGCAAGGCTGCCTGGGAACCTGGCTATCCAGAGCGACGCCCTGTCTAGAACTCCCACCAGTTCCACCGTGAGCAGAGGAGATTTATGCAAGAAAAAGCAAAAAAAATTTACCAACTTTGGGCACATCCTATTTGACTCCTTATGTCAGACTGTTCTACCCCCCAAGAAATCTGAGAATTGGCATTGTAAAAAAACACTTCAAAACATTACCTGATACTATGAGAAAACTAAGTGCTGACAAATCTTATTTCCAGGTGGTGAATATTGTTCAACCCACATATGATAATACTAATAATCATAAAAAATTTTACCAATAATACAATGGCTATGCAATTTTTAAAAATTCTTTGATTTAAAAATAAAGTTGAAAGCATCATGCCAGAAGACAGTAAAAGAGTTACTAGTCTTCAAAACTGACAAACAAGGAAGATATTAACAAGTACCAGGAAAATCAAAACAGCATTGTTCACTTCTAAAAAGGAAAAATAAATTATACTAAAATTATTAAGCTAACAAAGCAAGAGAAAATATGAATGCAAAAATGACAGTGATCTGCAAAATTCATAAATGTGTCTTTCATATAACCACAAGCATATTTTATGCTGTCATTTTGCATTTAATTGTTCACCCTGGTACTTTGCTTCCTAGAAGCCATCAGTATCCCACAGAGCCAGATGCTGAACTGCAAAAAACATACTGTGACCACAGACTTATAAGAAGTGACTTTGCTGAGCTATGGTGTATGACAAGTTAATTTTTGCAATTACATTTTTTCCAACAATAAATGAAGCTACTGCTTATGACTATTCTACATTATTAAAAAGAGGCAAGAAAATATTCTTTATAATAAGCGATTCAAATTCATTTTTAAAAGCTTCAGTTGATATAAGAAAGTAACTTTTCAAATAGCTTTTCTGTATGTCCCAAAGTAAAAATTACTACACCTCAGCTGAAATGATAAGCAGCTTAATACATTTAGGCATAACTAAGATTTCTGAATGTTAACACACAAGGCCAAATTATTTCAAGCCTTCTAGGAGATGTCACATACAAACATAAGCCTTTTAATCACTACTGTTAGTTCTGCCATATTATGCCAAACATAATATTCAAAGAAGTCCATTAGTTGTCATTTAGAAAGAAAGGGCTATTGCACATAATTTACCTACAGAGTTCTGAATTTAAAATATTTGTAATGGCATCACTGTCAAATACCCAATAGTAATTTAAAAAAACAGTAAGGAATATAGGCTATTCTCTATAGCACGGTCTGTTTGTACACGTATTACAAAATTTGGGAGATATTATAGTTTTGTTTTATTCATTATGACACATAAGAGGGCATTTCTCTTTTAATAAACTTTCACCATAATAAAACCAAAAGAGTTATTTCTTGACTGTTAATGTATCATCAGCACAAAACAAACTGGCCAAGCTTTCCAAATGCCTAAGTCAAATTTGCCTCCTGAAGGAGGATATCTAAGAAATAATTATTTAAAATCTATTTTTTAAATCTCTGTTATTTAATGATTTAAAATTTAAATGAAACTATGTTTTAATCACATAATACTAACACAATATATACTGTCACTGCAAGATATGTAAAAAAAAAAAAAAAAAAAAAAAAGATGCTAAAATGTTCCAGGTAAATCTAGTAAGTTTTACTCAGTACCTTAATAAATATAGAAAAATGCTGATTTTTTAATGTATAAATTGCCCATGTCATTTATTTTAAAGATTGGAGGAGTCTTGGAGTTCCTTTATTCCAAACCCCTGGTGTGTTCCTTTCCTAATGTGGAGCAAAGGCATGAGACAGGGAATTTAACATCTGCCAGTGTGCTCAGAGATCACTTACCCAAGCGCTAGCTGTACCGTTCAGAAAACTGAAGCAGAAAGTTGAAATGCAGGTATCAATAAGGCCAAGTATCTAACAAAAGGCCCTGACTGGCAGGTCCTCTATGTTCCAACCCTTGCTACTTAAAAGGGAATGACAAGCTTTCCAGATGCCATTTTAGCCATCTTCTAAGAAAAAATCTGCCCAAGTCCCATGCATTGCTATTTTTCTCCCACCAAACCCTGACTTCCTGTCTTCTTCCTTCTGTATGCTCCAGCACTCTCCCATACACCAGTGACCCACAGCCTATGCTCCCTGGCCTTAACACCACTTCTGATCTCACCAGCCCTTCCTGGATAGCCAACTGACAGCAAAACCTCAATGCTTCTACAAATTCATACTCTTTCCCCACTGCAGAACCTGCTCAGCTAGCCAGTCCAGCTATCTACCCAATAGTCCTCTACATTCTCTATTCCTCCCACCTGTATCCAACATGCATCACACCCTGCCTAGATTGTCAGCCTCAGAACCAGCCTCCCTGCCTCCAGGGAGACAGCCTCCTCTCATGGCCTCCACAGGAAAGCCTCAGAAAATGAATTCTGTTTCTCACATACAAATCTCAGGGGTGGGAGATGTGACCACTTGGATGGCTTCGCCATGACTACTGGGAAAAGGACTAACCAAAGCACATGCTCCTCAAAGCCTTCCACACACTAAACCACAGCCTAAACCATTAAGGCTGGAACTAAAGGTTGAAATCTTAATAGTAACCTGGGCTCAAATAGCATTTTATATTTTCTAAGCACATATACACATATTGTCTCATCAATTACCCAAAAGAAGCAGCATTTTTCTAATTTTAAATGAAGAAACTAATCCCATTTTCCAGTAACTAAGACATAGGCGCTAGGACATGAACCCAAGACTTCTAATTCTAAATACAATTGCCTTGCTAATAGCCACATTTTAAATTTGGACCTTGTCAAAGACAAGGTCCCAGAACACCAACTCCTGAAATGAGCAAGCACAAGGCCTTCCTGTATCAGTCAGACACATATATGACACACGCCAGGGCCAAATCAGACACAACAAAAAATAAATACAAAGTGATAAAAAGGTTTACTTTTAAATAAACTAATAAGGGCGGGAGGCAGTGGCTCACGCCTGTAATCCCAGCACTTTGGGAGGCCGAGGCGGGTGGGTCACTTGAGTTTGGGAGTTCAAGACCAGCCTGGCCAACATGGTGAAATCCCTCTCCACTAAAAAAACAAAAATTAATCGGGTGTGGTGGCACGTGCCTGTAATCCCAGCTACCCAGGAGGCTGAGGCAGGAGAATCGCTTGAACCTGAGAGGCGGAGGTTGCAGTGAGCTGAGATCATGCCAATGCACTCCAACCCGGGTGACAGAGAGAGACTCCATCTCAAAAAATAAAATAAAATAAGCTAATGAATAACTTCACTTTGGATAACAATGGTATTAGAAATACTGTAATAAATTACTACAAACTTAGTAAAACACACATATTTATTATCTTACAGACCTGCAGTTCTGAAGTCCAGCCCAGGAATGACTGAGCTAAAATCAAGGTGTCAGTAAGACTGCACTCCTTTCTGGAACCTCTAAGGGATGACAGTCCCCCACACTTGCTGGCTCATGGCCCCTTCTTCCTCAATCTTGAAACCAGCTATGCGGAATCAAGTCCTTCTCACATTGTGTCATCATACCTTCTCTTACGGAGCCTCTTCCACATTTATGGACCCTTGTGATCACATTGGGCCCCTCCAGATAGTCTCTCTGTTTTAAGGTCAGCTGACTGGCCACCTTAAATTCCACTGCAACTTTCATTCCCCTTTGCCAGGCAAAATAATGTAGTCACAGGTGCCGGGGATGAGGACATGGACACTCTTTGGGGAGTGTGAGGGGAGGGTGCTTTATTCTGCCAACCCAAATAACCAAGATTAAAACTGGACACCAATTAAAATCTAAATTTTAGGCGACTTATTTTGAAGCTTAATAGCCCCTCCCCAGCCCACTCCCATTAATAGCATCCATGGAGAATGGACAGAGTGAATTGATAATAGCATCCATGGAGAATGGACAGAGTGAATTGATAATAGCATCCATGGAGAATGGACAGAGTGAATTGATAATAGCATCCATGGAGAATGGACAGAGTGAATTGATTCATCATTCATTTTAAACTGTTGTCTCATTCTGACAGGACATTAGAGAAATAGCTCAGCCTCACTCGTCTATTCACAGAGCCAGTTTTTCCATTCTCCATTCAGATTCACTGCATTGACTTAAAATAGAGAGAACAAAAGCCAAACGCAACAATTAGTTCATTTGATTAACTTGGGAACTCATGAAGATCTGAAAACATGTATTAGATACTAAGAAGAAATTACTAAAACTTGCAGCCCTTTACTG
Organism: Homo sapiens; assembly: GCF_000001405.40. Taxonomy (NCBI): domain Eukaryota; kingdom Metazoa; phylum Chordata; class Mammalia; order Primates; family Hominidae; genus Homo; species Homo sapiens. The sequence goes on along the minus strand of NC_000018.10, from coordinate 74,710,720 downwards.
CTAGTTTTTAAAGAAAAAAAAGCATTCTTATTATCTCATTTGAATCTAGCATCACTGTGAGGTGTATTTACAAACATATTACTCAGAGAAGATGGGTGATGTGGACGATCCCACAGACATGATGTGTACAGCTGTAACACCCATGAGGACAGTATTGACAATGTTCCAGTATCTGTGGGAAAAGGAATGGGCAGGTACCTAGAAAGGCTAGGGGGAAGAACTTACATTCAGTCAAACCTTATAACATTTTCCCAAACTACACTGCTCGCGTATTTTAGATATGCTCATTAAAAAGCAGCACAGGAAGAACATGTGCAATTATGCATGTCTAGTCAAACAGTAAGAAAAATCTCAATTAAAAGCTTAAAGTGAAAATATTAAAGTGAAAGTCAATACCCCTACATGAGAAAAAATAAAAATGAGAAGCCTCATGCTACACTAGAGAGGTTTTCATTTCTACTTTTCTATTAATTTCTATTAATCTGTATAAACCCTGCAGGATTAGTCAAATCAATTAAATATAACAGAGGTAATGTGCAAAAATCATGAAAACTTAAATATTGTTTTAAAGCTAAATTTATCTGCCATCATTCAAAACCGGGTTAAAAAGACTTCTGAAATGCCAAAGCACTAAAATGTATCGAAAGTGACATGTTTAGTGTATTTACATGAACACATAAAATAATTATCAGAAGTCACAAACAGACATTTTTTTCAGGTCAAAATTCTTTTAAAAATATACTGTTTAAACTATTCATAAATTCACATTAATGAAATATGGTAACATTTCAGTGTAATATAATGTAAAAACTTCATTCCCTCCACAGAATGTTGCTTCTAGAAGTACATATAACAAAGTTGGAGGAAACACATGATGCTTGTTGATAGTGACAGGATTATTTCAAAAACCAATTATATCTGTTCATTCCCTTTTGCTTAATTAAAGCAAAAGGCATCAAAATCTTTCTCAGCAGTAATCAAGTGAAAGCTGCATAGCACAGATACAGTAATTAACTTAACCTTATCACTGAACTGTATTGGGTCATTCAAGTGCGGCACAGTATCAAACCTAAGAATCAATGCTATCGCACTGACATCTCAGAGGAGCACAGAGATTGAATAACGCCATCTGTAAATGGACAGGCTTTGTTCCTGCCTAGCCATGCTGGATAAATGTTCCTACTCATAACTTTAATGTGGCAGCTTAACCATTTAATCATTGTACATTAATACATTATCAATATTATGAACATGTAACTACAAAATTACTTGTCAAAGTAATCAGATATTACAGATTTTGAGCATAAATGCAACACAAGGATTTTTGGGTGGTGGCTGTACCTTTACAAAGAAGATACATTATGGATTTTTAAATATACACATAATAGAGATAAGTTCTAGAAAAGTGTGCTTTTGGAATTTCAATGAAATAATTCCATGTTACATCTTCTATCAGATATATGCATGAGTGGTTTTAACATGGCTTAATTCAACCTAAAAGACTGATACGTATGCAATTTTTAAAGATTCAATTTATTCAATTATGCCAATTTACTTGATATTTTATTTGTTTTACTGGAAAACATTTCAAAATATAAGAAATCATAATTTGAATATATATAGCTTAAAGTCATCTATTCATTACTCCCAGTTAAGTTCAAGCATATTTTGTTATTTTCCTAAAGGATCAAAAATTCTGTTGCCAAGGCATTATTTTGAGGTCTTTCACTTTCACCAAGTAAGACACTAAATCATAGGGGACGATTATCAGCAAATTCTCTGCGACAGGCCCTAAGCCTGCTGAGGCAATGCAGCTGACAAACTTTGATGCGCCATGCCTGGGCACATTATGTTCATGTAGTGTGTACATCTGGGCACCCTTTATGGCAATGCAGCAAACAGCCAATCATTTATTCCACTCTAATTAGCACACATGTAAATCCTCACCAATCAAGCCGCGTGCGGGGTTCCTGTTGTGGCAGCCATACAGCAAGCTGGCAGACCCCACCAAGGAAGGATGAGAAGACATTCCTGGCCTGACTTGGACCTGCCATCACACCAGGCTGCTCCCCCAGAAAGGGCTGGAGCCAGCTCTCCCTTTCAAAACTGATCAAGGAGCCCCACAGAAAAAGGTCAGCAAGCAGAAAGCTGATTGGCCACAGTTCTTTGGGTCTTCACTAGTCCCAGGAATACACCTGAAGCAACATGCTTCTCTTCTGCTTAAAAGCACAATAGTTATCCTGAGCAGAAGTCAGAATGAAGTTATAAATAGGCTACATAGCAGAGGATACAAGGAACTATGAAGAAAGACCTTCAACCATAAAACACAGTAACTGATGGGATTACCAGGAAATTATATGGTATAAACCTATACATGCCTGTGTGTGATATGATGTAATGACTACATATGCCTCAGTATAGTATAATGATACATTATAAGCCTAAGTCATTATATTTCCTATTTGTTGGCATATAAATTTAATTTTGCACACCAAACTACCAAAAGCAGTAACTCTATCTTTGAACATAATTGTAATAGTTGTACTGAAACAAATATAAATATATAGACAGTACCCAGTTTGGGATTTTTTTATTTGTTGTTTCTTTTATTTAACCATGATGAAATCCTAACTGCTATTTTTAGATGACATCATGCACAATAGTAATTTACCAACAAGAAAATTGTTCAAACTTAGGAAGAACAGAGATTTCTGCCAGTAAAAATTAATGTCATATTTACACTAACACTTGTTTTACTAAAAAGCTTTTCCCAGTAGATATCAATTTGTACTGTTTCTGAACATTCATTTTACTTGCTATTATAATTTACATCACTAAAATTGTGTTCATTCAATAAATATTTTTTGAATGCATCACCTGTGGCAGCACAGCACCAGATGTAGGAGATACAGATGGGTAAAGAAGAAACAACCTCAGTCTCAAAAAAGTAGACAAAGATTTCATGAGGAAAAAGTCCAATCAACAGATAATACATTGAGTAATAGTGCTTAAAGTATAAGACTAATACCAAAGAAAAAGCCCAGATGGTTTTAATGGGACAAGAAAGTCTTTCTAAAGAAAGTAATGAACACCTGATTCCTTGAAATACAAGCTGAGCATCTCTAATCCAAAAATCTGAAATCCAAAATGCTACGAAATCCGAAACTTTTGGAGCATCAACGTAACACTCAAAGAATATGCTCACTGGAGCATAAGGATCTCGAGTTTTCAGATTTGCCATGTTCAACCAGGAAGCATAATGCAAATAATCAAAAATTCAAAAAAAACCTCAAAATCCAAAAAAAATTTGAAGTCTGAAACAGTTCTGTTCCAAGCATTTGGATAAGGGATGCTCAGCCTGTACTTACAACTGAAGGTAACTAAAGAATTAATTCACTTATTAGGAACTACTTATTGATAACCCACTTTGACATGTACACAGAGTGTATTGGGTAAATGAAACAACTGCTAGCTGGGTACGGTGACTCACTCCTGTAATCCCAGCACTTTCAGATGCCGACGTGGGCGGATCACTTGAAGTCCAGAGTACAAGAACTGCCTGACCAACATGGTAAAACCTTGTCTCTACTAAAAATATAAAAATTAGCCAGGCATGGTATCGTATAACTGTAATCCAAGCTACTCTGGAGACTAAGGCAGGAGAATCATGGAACCTGGTAGGCAGAGACTGCAGTGAGCTGAGATGGCACCACGGCACTCCAGCCTGGGCGACAATGCGTGAGACTCCATCTCAAAAAAAAAAAAAAAAAAAAAAAAAAAGCTGCTGTCTTTGCCCCTGTGGAATGAACAGTGCAGCTGAGGGAAAAGCCATAAAGTGCATAAGAAGAAACAGGACATGGGAAGAGCTGATGAGCACTTGAAGCGTTGTGTCCATCACGGAGAATGAGGCAGGAAGATCTTTCCAAGGTGAGCTCTCACCTGCCTCTATAGGCCTTATGAAGGTCAAATTCTACAAGTACCCTACCCAAAATAAGAACCATCCCTATCCCCAATCACTCTCAATCCCTTTGCTTTATTTTTCTTCAAAGCATTCATCACATCCTGACATTCTCTCACATTGTTTTTGTTGCTGCTGCTCATTTTCTGACACCCCTAAACTTGAAGGTGAGTTCCAGGTGGAGACTTGGTCAGTGCTGTTCAGAGCTGAACCACACACCTGAAACAAATGAGGCCCTAAATAAATACATGTTGAGTGAATGAACAACAAACGAATGAGCATCCAAATTCATGGGGTAATACACATTATTCCCATCTGACCAAATCCAGGTAACATGGATCATCCCACCCACCAGGATTTAAGGCAATCATTGTCAATTGCAGTTAATTCTAAGAGTTTATTACAGATAGGTGAACAATGAATACAACATTTCTCAAAGAACAATAATAAAAGCGATTCCTGTTTTTTCCAAAACAAAAGTGAAAGCTTTGAACAAAAGTCTAGTAAATAGCAGAAAAGACAGTGAACTAGAATGAAAAAGGTGAAGAATCCTATAAAAATTCTGCAACAATTTGAAATTAAAGAATTTTTGCGGTAGAATTCTCATTTTTGCATAATTCATTGTCAACATATTACCATCTCACACCATATCCAAAACTTCCATGACAATGACTAACCACAGTGCACTGATATGTATATGAATACCCTTAAGAAGGGGGAAGAGACAGTGGAGAAGGAAATAGAATGAGATACTTGGCTCTACTTCAGCCCTAATCTTTAGTTGAAAAAGGAAAACAGAAAATGATCTTTAGTAGCTGACAAGGACACTGGCTCATAGACAATTCAGTGCAAATAGAGTACTAGGATACAATGTAGACCGCTCTTTGATCTATACATAGTAACCATAGTTTCGTATTTTATATGCATAGTTTGTTCTCACCTGCAAAAGAAAGTTCACATCTCACACCAAGACCTTATTTAACCTGTTTCTTTTAATTTTCATATTGTCAAAAATGTCCAGTATTTGTTTTCTATTTACAAGACACATGCTATTAATTTTTAAATATATCCCTACTTATTTAATCGTTAATAAAGGACAAAAAATCCAATTTCATCAACATAAATTCTGAGTTTTGCTACACTAAAAAAATGTTTTTTATAAACAAACTACATTCAAAATAGAGCGAGCTATATTCAAAAAGTCTAATCTACCAATACATATTCATAAAGCTATAGATGTGGAATAGAGGTACAAGACGTTTTAATTACAATTATTATCTATCTGAATAAGTTGTTTTAAGGCATCTAATAAGTTTAAGGAGCCATTCTAGAATAAACAGCATCTGCACAATTCAGCATTTTCATCAAATTTCCAAAGACAGTCCTATTCAACCAAATCAGAGATGGCCAGTCAGTGTGCATGCTGCCACTGATTTATCGTGGGCTTTTGTCCCCATGACATCACAGGCAGCCTCAGAATCTCTCTCAACAGTCTCTACTCAGTCACCTCAACAAGTAGAAGCAGACAAAAAGTGAAATCTACCTACCTTCCCTGAGCTTAATTCAAGGGTACCTTATCAGCCTGTTGGACTTTCTGGTTTAAAAAAAAAAATGTATTTTTCTCAAGTCAAAACACCATGTCTATATTTATCAATCCTCCATTAACCTCCTGTGGAAGAAACTCAGCAAGGCATAACTTGAGCAGAATATATTTCAGATATTAAATGCAATGATATTTAGACAATACTAAAATGCAACTAGGGAAGGGTCACTCTTCTAATCCTAATACTGGGGTCTATGTGGGATAAAGAGAAACCGAATCTTCATGTAAAAGCATACAAGCCTACTATTAATGAGACATATTTCTGCCTTCTTTGCTGTTAGGAGCCAAGGCTCAATACATGATAGTATGGGTGTTATCTGCTACTCACTAGTACCATGCCAACACCCATCCCTTTCCCTCACTGTCTCTAAAAAACACCAAGACACTTATTGCAGAAACACTAAGTGTTTCTAATGCAAGAAAACATCTTGCTAAAGCTACTAATGCAAAGAGCACGCAACTTAAGCGACAAAATTCAAACTTATGCTTCCCATCAAGATGTCATTTATGTAAATGATTTCCATGCCGACATTGTTTTAGTATTAAATTGTGATAACCTATTTTTTAAGAGAATAAAAGAACCATTTATTTATGAAGTTATAAACCTGCAAACTTTACTGAGGTGATGTATTAAAAAGAAAACTGATCTATCAACTCTCTATAGGTCCCTCTCGCCATGAGCCCAGATCTGTGTCAAGCTCCACAGACCTGATAGTTACAGTTAAACTCTACTGAACCGGCCTTTTTCCCTTCATTTTCCCCGTTGTACCTGTATTTCATTATATCCTGTTTAACAGCACGTCCTGATTGAGTGAAGTGCTCTATAAAAGAGATCCCTAGTTGTTGGCTATGGGACCCTGATGTAGCCTGCACCATGTCCTGTGCCAAGATGCTTCGAAGAATTACTGAAAATGTGTGGAAGCCCACGAAGCGCAGCGATGGCCTGGTTTACCAGAAGATTTAGGGAGGAATGGAGCTGATGAGCTTCATCATTTACAAAATCAGAAGTGCTGACAGAAGAAGAAAGCTATGGGTCTGTGCCTCCTCATGGCCATGCCTGACCAGATTTACTTGGAGGACACATGAGATGAAATGTCGGTGTCCCTTACATGTAAGATGAGAATATGGAACATTACTGTACTTCTATGTCATTAACTTCATGACATGAATGACTATCTGTGAGATGCAAAAAAATAAAAAATAAAAAAAAAGAGATCCTTCCAGTGGTCCAACAAAAATATTATAATAATTTTGATGATGTAAAGAAATTGCACAAATTGACATTTACCACCTCATATCTCAACTTACCTAAGAATATTAAATGATTAATTAATCAACAAAACTGTATATTTAGAAAGAGTCTGGGGATTTCTGTTAGTAGATCATTTGCTAATAGGGCAGAACACACTAATAGAACTTGTTGATGATGTATTAAAAACATTACCATATTCAGTTAAAAAAAAAATCAATCTCATAGCCCATAAAAGAGATCTAGGCTGGGCACGGTGGCTCACAACTGTAATCCCAGCACTTTGGGAGGCCGAGGAGGGCAGATCACCTGAGGTCAGGAGTTCGAGACCAGCCTGATAAACCTGGAGAAACCCCATCTCTACTAAAAATACAAAATTAGCTGGGTGTGGTGGTGTATACCTGTAATCCCAGCTACTCTGGAGGCTGAGGCAGGAGAACTGCTTGAACCCAGAAGGTGGAGGTTGCGGTGAGCCGAGATTGCACCATTGCACTCCAGCCTGGGCAACAAGAGTGAAACTCCATCTCAGAAAAGAGAGAGAGAGAGACAGAGACAGAGACACACATGGGGAGAGAGAGAGAGAGATCTAAAACTCTCTGTGGTAGCTCTGTAATGGGTCGTCTCATCTAGGCTGTGAACTACATTTCTCAGAATTCTCTTTCCTTACACATCTAGTTGGGTGGGACATGAGGCAGGTTCTTGTGAGAAATGAAGAAGGCTGCTACAAGCAGCAGTCACTTGTAGCTCTCACACCACCTCGCCTCTCTGCTGAGTCACCTCATTTGGGTGAGCAGGGGCTAGCCCTGCAACTGCTCCACCTCCATCAGGAGTTTCTCCAACCACTAGACCAGGCATGTGTAAGTTATGCTCCTGGAAGAAGAGCCCCAAATTCTATGGAAACCTATACCATCAGGGTCTGAAGCAGTAAGAACAGACATGGGTTTCTGCCCATGTTCATCGGCTCCAGGTCATGCTTGTGGGTTCCACTTGGTCTTGTTCTTGCCCTGTGTTCCAAATATCTCCTCTTCCCATGCATTTAAAATAGTCTTAGAAAGACTGCTTGACCAACAGATACAACTGCGTATAGCCAACTGCTTGTAATATACCCATGTACATGTCTATGTATCAGTGTATATGTACATGTATCTATGTGTGCCTGAATATACGTATGCATATCAATGTTTATAGGGAAATATGTATTTATATATAAATAAATGTGAGTATATGCTATGCTGCTTCTGATTGATAAACCATTTAACCAATATATAAAACTCATTTACATGCACTGGAAACAATGCATAGAAGAACTAAATGTATCTCAATTTAGAACTCAAAATATTTAATATTTTCAAAAATATCCACATGCCTTACAGTCTTTTTCTACTCAAAGCAGAATATTCACTATATTAGAAGAATCAGTAAAATATCTATATTTAGAAAAATACTGATAATACTGTAATATGTGTTTTTCAGTATAAACACTGATAATCATATATATTTATCTCACTTTATAAATGTCAATATTCTTCAGCTATTGTATAAAAGATGAATTACTTCCCTATTAAATTATATATTTTGGGTAACTTCCATTGTAAACACCAAAAGTGTACTTGATTGGAAAAACTGACCCGTGCATGAATAAAACACATACATCCTTCTCATCCCATATCTTAACTCAGAACTAAGATTCCTTCTTGACCGTGAGCTACTGTCATTATCAGTGGGTACCAACTGAAAAGGCAATGTAATATTATAATATACAAACTGCAGTTATCAGCAGCCCCTCCAAAATGTAATGCCACCTCTGATCTAATACCTCATTAGAAGAGCATTCAAAAATAGAATATTCGCAGGCATGTCTCCGTTATAGATATTTTCAGTATAATAATGGTAGCTGAAATGGCACCCCACAGAGCACTATGTGCATACCAAGCTAAAACATAAGCAAATTAAACCACAAACTCTACTTTTAAGTTTGAAATTCAAGATTCACAAAATAAAGCTGATGCAAACATTTTATTTATTTATAAGGGCTTATGAAATCGATTTCCTAAAATCTGTAAAATAGTCTCTCTTTACAATGCAATGCACAAACTGCATGTTGGGGGAAGGGGTGACAGGGCGAGCCTAAATTATTAACAGTTCAAAGGCCAAGAATATAAAAGCAGCTAGAATGAAAGAAAAAAATATTTTAAGAGGCAAAAATCAGGGTCTGAGATTAGATTCAATTCAAAAACCATCATGTGGAAGAAATACAACCAATGTCAAAACTGTTGAATAAAAAATTAACTGTAATAGTTACCTTCCATGGTAGTTGGGGGAAGTGAGGCCTCGGTGATTACCAGAAGGAAGCAAGAGAAGCTTTCTGGTACTCGTTTGTTTCTTGATCCCAGGTGCCTTATGACTTGTGCCTGTCTGTCTATGGTATACATACATAGCATGAAACACAGAATTCAACTCCAGAGCTAAACTTATAGGTAGTCGGAAATATTACATAAAGGAAAATAAAAACATCACAGGATGACCAATCTTTGAAAGAAGTTGCTAACTCACAGTTTGCAATAATAGTTATTTCTTTGCGATGAGATGCTCAACACACTGATCCAAGGGGCAAGCTAGTTTTGGTGCCAAACAGCACAGGTGATAATTGCCTACTGTCTCAGTCTGCTCGGGCTGCCCTAACAGAACACCACAGCCTGGAGCCTCAGACAACAGAAGCTAACACTCTCACAGCTCTGGAGCCAGACCACCATCTGCAAGCCTGGGCGAGCCTTCACCAGAACCCAACTATGCTGGAACCCTGGTCTCTCTGCCATGTGAGGACAAGTGTGCATGCGGAGGAGGAGAGAGACAGCTGTCTGTTGTCTTTATTCTACAGTATGAGGACCCCACCCTTAAGATCTCATTTAACCTTAACTACCCCCTATAGGCCCTATCTCCAAATACTGTCACGTTTGGTAATTAAGAATTCAACTTACAAATTTTTCAGGGACACAATTCAGTCCAGAGCTCCCACTAAATGTCTGGTACCACCGGAATACTAATAAATACGCTCCAATGTTTGACAGATGAATCTTAATGGAAAAAAGAACAGGTTCCAGAAGCAAACCAGTACTTTCATCTTTAAGATGACCAAGGCTAAACTCCTAGACAAAAAACATTTACATTTGGTCCCAATTATACTTCTCTCCTCTCCTAAAATGAGTATCTCTACCACTGTAAACTAACAGAGTTTGGGGACTAAGTCTCCTCTGTCATCACAGAAACTATTTTATAGAATAAAGTTAAGGCTGAGAAGAATGAACTTTAATCGAGAAATTATAGCTGAGATCTAGAATTGGGGGGAGGTGGGGATCAAGGGAGAGAGAACTGAGGAGAAGACTAGAGGAAATGAAATAATAAAGTTAGCTCCACCTGCCCTTGATGGAGGAAAGTGCAAAGTGCTGGCATCACCATGCAGTGACATCACACCTCTGATACTCTTTGCGAAAAGCACATGTTCAGCAGCTTTCTACCATCTTATTAGAAAGCAGTAAAGACAGTCTTGACCTAAAGAAAATGCCAAATAAGTGGCAGTGTAGAAACTGCTCACCGTAAACTAGTTAGGTGGCTTTATCTAGAACTTTCTCCGAAGAAAGTGAAAGGTTTCAAATGTAGGTATACTAATGTATTTTAAAACTTACTTCACATGGACCCTCCCTCTGCGATAATTTGAGGATTTAGAAAATAGCAGAATATTAAATTTAATAAACCTCACAAAGTAGAACAAAATATTTTCCATTCAACGAAACATAGTTTACTATCCAAATGTCCTTAGGAAAAGAACTGACTGTAAAGTATAAATAAGTTTACAAGTTTGAAGTGTTTTTTTAAGCATGGTAACCATATTTATGCTATGGGAACACAGCACTAATCTTATTGTAAATGTCAAGGGCAATGATCATTTAAGTAATACAAACTCACATTTTAGGGGCAACTTTAATTTACTAAGAGAAACATGTGCATATAATTTTGTCTCCAGAGAACCAACTCTCACAAATTATTTCTAGTTTTTCAATAAAATAAGTATTACAAAGATGTTAGAAAATCTATGTCATACTACTGGACCTATTACTTAAAGTATGATTTAATATTCCTTTTAATATTTTAACTGTAGAAAATCCCACACAAAACAGGAAAACGATTCAACATAAACCTATAAAACAAATGGAAAATGTCTGCTTAGATTTGTCCAAATCTAGCAAATTAAGGACCAAGGCCAGCAAGCAGGACAGTAAGGATTAACTTGTAAAATACTCACTGGAGTAGCTCGCCTCATCCTTGTGTACCTCCCTAATTCTCCACTCCTCTGCCAACAAATGAAACTGGTCACTCCAACACCGGTACCAGGAGACATTTTTAAAGTCTCAAAACTGTCTAAAATCCCTTAGACACAGCTCAGGTTACAACTATCTTCTCCAAAATAGCTACTCTGGGCTCCCATACGCAAGTACCCTTCAGTTATCAGACCCCAGCACTCCCCTAAATTCTGGGTTTTTTAATAACACAGAAAACCAACTTTTATCATTGACAAGAATGTTTTCATAAAAATGAGGATAAAAACAAAACCTGTACCAGGAAAAGCATATATCATCATGTTTCCTGGAGGCATCCCTGCATATCTGCTCACTTTGCACTGAAGTGTGTCCATAGCAGATCTTATCTTTGCAATGAAATACAGAAGAAAATATTTGTTTACTCACAGGAAATTGGACCCAAAGATATTTGAAATGTGAGCAGTGCCAGAACGTTAAAAAAAATTGGTTAATAAATGATCAGAAAAAACCTGGGAAAGGAGAGAGAGCGGGAAGGGATGAAAGCAGAGAGAAGGGAATGCTAGGTGTTCTTCACTGCTTTTCGATTAGAGAAAATCTCTTTTTAAAGGGCACACTACCAAAAACAACAAATTCGAATTTTTCCAAAAATTATTTTATACTATGGAAATGGCCAATTCCTCTAAATATTGGTATTTATTATTTCTTTGTTTGCTTGGGGGAGGAAATAAGAGGGGAACAAATTAAGAGCATTAATGGCCCAGTGAGTATACTCTTTCCCAACTTATACCTCCCCCGGCTACTCAGGTGCTACCTCTGTGACCTCAAGAAACTTTGGGCATGTTTCCAGGAATAATCTCACCATACTATGCTACAATTCTCAGTTTACATCTTTCTCTACTAAAATCATATGTTCTTGAGGGTAAAGGCCCAATGAGCCTTTTTGTTCTTTGTATGCTGAGTGTGGAGCAAAGAGCTCAACACCTGACACACCATGAATGTCCCCTGCAAGGATTAATGAGAGAGGGTGACCTGGGAAGGTTCCCCTCACTCCCACACACATACGGAGTACTCCTATCAAACATCAGAGATTGCTCAGTCTAAAAGATGCAAACATCAAACATACACACATAATACATATAACCAGCTCAGAAGGACAACAGCTCATTATACATACAACCAGCTCAGAAGGACAACGGTATGAACCATCAGGTGAGAGACAAATGACTAACTCAGCTATGCTGGTTATAAGTCTAGATGTTGATATGTCCATCTTAAAATAAAATGTACACTTAAAGTTCTGCTTTATTGAATCACTAGATAGAATGTTTCTAAATGGCTCATATTTTCTTAACTGCAGAAGTCCTTAGTTTTAGTTAATATTCATTTGTAGAAAGTCCCTGAAGTTCAAACCCTTGGTAACTGTCAGGATTATGATTTATATCCATTATGCATGAACAAAGGAAAAACAATCTTATCAAATAAAATAATAGATCGCTTTTAGGATGATGTCAATTGAATGCATCTCTGCACTGTTGACCTGCACATTACAATGAATAAATGTAATCAAATATGCTGATATGATGTTGCCACTGATTTAAAAACAATTGGATTTTTTCTTCTGTGCTGTTTGTATTCTCGAGAATTATAATCTATGATAAATTCTATAACCATTAAAAATCCTAGGTCATTGATTTATGCCTTAACTCAGACATGCTGAGCTCTTCAAAATAAATGTTTCAAAACAGCATGCACTGCAAATTGCAATTCTAACATAAAACAAATGTTAAAATGTTAGCATCTTTCCTGAATATATTGTAGTGTATTAATTGCTGGTCTTGGTAATGTAGCTTATTAGTTTTGAATAATCTAAGTTTTAATTCATCATTTAATTTTTAATTAAGTAGGTTTTTTTCAAGATGTGCTTTCTGCTTAAATGTTAGCCAGTAAACATAGTATATATAAAACAATTCTATGGCACAAATACATGACACTGGCATGTATTATATGATTTCTCTATGATCTCAAATATGAAAGCAATCATAACGTTTATATTCTATAAAACGAACAGCCATGTTAAATTTGACATTAAAATTTAAATAATTTAAGCTCAGAGACAATGCCTGGAAAACTGAAGGCCTGAATATGAAAGTACAATGAAATCACTTTCTCTATAAAGCAGTCTCTCAAATTTTAGTTAAAAAAGAATGCAGCTATTTTGGACTATCATACTTATATTAAAAGCTAATTTGTATTTTATTTTTCTTTGGAAACTAGGGGGACCCATACTAGCATATGTGCCAAAGGATATATATTCTCCTCATAGGAGCACAGGAGGAAATACAACATTGCCCACCTAATAGAAAATGAAAAAGCTAATGTGAATGGAGAAGAATCAAGAAGGTTGATGAGGGAAATGCAAACGTCCATGTCAAGTTATGAGTTTGGAGAGAGGTCCAATTAAGATTGTAAAGTTATTATTACAGTAAGTGCTACACTGAATGGCTCTACTGTTTAGCTGCCTCTCAGGACAAAGCTCTCCAAAGCAGCAATCAACAGTGTTATGCCTTATCATTTGGAGACCTTCTAAAAAATTTTAAGCATATTTTAATAAACTTTGCAGGTTGTTATTTTATTCAATATGATGTTTTCTAACTGTGTTTTTATTTGTTTTTTATGTGCCAACCTCCATATGATGAGATTAGAAAAACTTAACAAAAAAGGTCTGTGAAGGATGCTTGTAATATCACAGCCTGCCTCCAAACTACCTTGCAGCCTTGTAGATGTTTGGCTGTCATCATTACCAGGAAGCAAGAGCATCCATGATGTACCAGTTTCCATATTACTACCACATTGCAAAGCCTCTCATCAGCACCCACTGCCAGTTTTGATAAAATAAAATACATACATACATACATTCATGTGTATGTGTATTTGTCTATGTATGTATGTGAACACACAAACACACACACACACACATTATAACCCTATGATATATTTGTTGGGAAACAGAACCTCTAAGAAAAGTTCCGTGGAGGCATCTTAAGATCAATGGTTTCACAGCCAGAAGCAGAACTATAATACAGTCATTGCTCCGAATAGAACAGCTTTGCATCTAAATTTCCATTATTTTGCTAAGTAATATTTTCAACACTTAGATCCAGCATGCCTGGCAGCATTGTCAGGAAGGAAAACTGGTTACATTAGAGTGATTTTCTCTGGAGAACAGGAAACTTTCATGTTCCAAAGTATGCATTTGTTTATTATTTGACTTTATATGATCACATAATTTGGGAGAACAGGAAAAAATAAATTATTTTTGGAGTTTAATTTTTGAAACTACCAAAAGTAACAAGCTAACAGACCTCTGCTCCACTCTCCCTGTCAAGGGCTCTATTCTCATCACCACTCCAACAGCCAGCACACGTTGTGTCCACCTAGATTTTCGTTCTTGGAGATGTGCTCTAGGAGAACCACAGCAATTGTTTCTGAACAGCAGTCCTTACAGTGATTGGACTGTAAAGTCGTGTAAGTCATAATCCGAAGCACTCTATTCTCCAGGAAAACTAGCCAGTAATGATCTAGCAGCACAGTTCCCATGTAACACCAAATACCCTAACCAAAAACCTAACCTTAAAGGAAATCCTGACTGGAAGACCATCTTTCCATCAACTTAAAAGAAACACTACACCGTAGTCTCATAATATATTTATGTAGATCTCTTCTTTTAAATGCTTGTAAAGCATGCCAACAATGTAGACACAGAAAAATTACTGTATCTCTGTTTCACAAACTAGGTAACCAATCACAAACGGAGAACAGATGAACACGCTTAGAACAAAATCATGGGGAAGAAAGGGGAAAAGTGTGTTTTCGTGAAGGCTAAGAGAAGACCTGATGAATACATCTATACATATATGTAACTAGATAACTACTGATCCTAGTTCCAAATCAGACATTCCTTCTACCACATAGGTGGTTGTTAGGTGTAAGGAATGGAAAGCCAATTGGGATATCATATACAGAAGAAGACATCAAGGGCTTTTTTTTTTTTTCTTTAAATCAGGAAAAGGCTGTGCTATCAGGCCAAAAAAATAAAAAATAAAAAATGCTAGAACAAAACAGCTTGGAAGAATGAAGAAGGAAAAAAAAATAGTCTTAGCTGGTGCACATTAACCAGAACGCTATTGTCACCAGAGTGTATTTTTAGCACTTGTTCTAACAAGCCACATGCTCGTATCCTGACTACGAGAAGAACGAAGCAGGGTATTGCACCCCATCAAGAAACAATGAGACCTTCCCTCAAAGTCCAAAGGCATAGATGTTATGCAGGAGGCACAAAAAACAGCTAATTTCAGCAACATATATTGATACTTATTTTTTTTCTAAATCTTCCATATCGCTTATCCAAGAGCAATCCTTATAAGCAATCTGACAAAGAAGACAAAGAAGAATCAACAATAGCTCAAGATGGCAAGTAACTCTGATGTCAACTTCTGTAACTTCTTATAAAAACCATAAAAAAGAATTTCAAAAGGAAATCAGAGTTGCTGAAGTATACTGCAGACCAGAAACCAAATTCATATGGCTTCCTTCACTATCTCAGGTTTATCCCCTCTAAAGTGAGAATAACAATAATAGATCAGTGTCATATATTATTTAGAATATATGAAATACCATTATACAGAATTGTATAACTCTATAGTATGATAAAATACTTTTGATTATCAAATGAAAATACAGACTGAAATAGGTACAGAAATTACAAAGTATACAGGTAAGCTTCCAGTCATGAGAACTAGGGCCCACTGTAAGCCACCAGAAAACTGGACAAAATACAGCAAACAACTATTTTCAGAAATTGAACAATGCACAGAATAGGACGAGAAGAAGATAAACAAGGGAGATGAGCCCTGTGGCAACCCTGAATGTATCCCAGGAGCACAGTGCAGGGACCCATGCCAGAGCACAGTGTATCACCTACTACATGTGACAAAAATGAATCAGTTGGAACTTGGTGTTCAGAGAATGAGAAAGGAGTGAGCTGCCCAAACAAACAGCTCCAACACTCACAATAGGAGACTCTATGAATCCTTGGCTGCATACTAAGTCATGCATACATGAGGTGAAACTCCTTGGAGCCAGGAAAAAGAAAAAAAGAAGAAAAAAAAATTAATAAAGGGAGCTATATCTCTTGGAATTGATCAAATTCCAAGAGATCAAATAAAGTGATCTTCAAGTTCTGACCAGCCAGAATGATTCTTCTTCTTCACACACCTGAAGTACTTCGGAAGAGACACGAAACGGTCACACCTTAACATTGAGCTTAACTATCCCTAGAGTGAAGTCTACACCAGACTTGCTCTAAAAGACTTAAAAACAAACCTCCAAAGGATCAAGAAAATTCTCAAGTGACTTACATAACTGCCAGGAAAAAAATCCAACATTCTTTAAAGGAAGACAACAAAATGAACCACAGAACAACCCAAAATTCACAATATCCACCTCCAGTCAATAACTACTAGAGATTCAAACAAGCAACGAAATGTAACCCATGAACAAGAGTATACTTTAGTCAACTGAAATAAATTTAGAGATTATACCATGATGGAATTAGCATATTCTTTAAAATAGTCACTATATACAAAGAAAGTTAAAAAAATAACTGAAAGATAACAAAATGAGCACAGAATCAGTAACTTATGAGACAATATCAAACAGGCTAATATATACACAACTGAAATTCCAGAAGAGAAGGGCTAGAGACAGGTAAATAGGGTAGTAAACAGAAAAAAATCTGAAGAAATAATGACCTGAAATTTTTTTAATTTGAGAAAAAATTCCACCCACAGATCAGAGAAATTTAACAAACCTCAAGCACGATGAACACAGAAGAAAGCAAACCAAGGTACTTCGAAATACTAATTGCTGAAAAGCAACTAAAAAGGAGAAATCTTAGTGAACAGAAACATGATATATACAGAGGAACAAAACGACTTCTCATAAAGTAATAGAGAACAGAAGAAAATGATAGGACAAATTTAAGGAAAATACAAATTCTCAACCTTGAACTCTTAACAAAAATTTCCTTCAAAACTGAAGAGAAAGTAGTGATTTTTCAGAGAAACAAAAGCTGAGATTAATTACCAGCAGACACCCACTATAAAAACAGTTAAACACACTTTTAAATAATCCAAGAAAGAGAATTACAAAAATTAGAAAACGTTTTGAAATAAATAAAAGTGAAACATATTATCATGTATGCATGTTCAGATGTAGAAACCTATATCACTCCCATGCTAACAATGAGAAAGAGTCGGATAATCTGCAAAAGTCTAACTTTTCTCGAGCCCATCAGAAAGCTGAGATCATAAAGCAACCACATAAACTCAAGTCTAAATAAAATCAAGGTCTTCCAATGGGAGAAGAAATACATGTACATGTCAGCTTGGGCGGAGGAAAGTGCAGCCACTGCACAAATGGATAGGAAGAAATCAGCTAAAATTGTAACAAACTGTTAAAAGCCAACAGTGAACTGACGTGCACCACAGTACAGGGCACTCAGTCAACAGCTGTTTGCCCAGACCTCTACTGGCACAGATGAGAAAGACTGGGGCATGTGGGGAAACTGAGATAATCCACCTCTGGGATGCAGAAACAGGCACAAAGCCAAACTGCTACCACAGGCAGTTCTCTGCCATAAAGCAAAAGCCTCACACAGCAGGAGAAGGGCAACCACACTCGAACCCCAGGGAAAAGCAAAGACACTGCTCTGGGGGAGGGGTGGAGGCCACTCCACCTGTCTCTGGGGGAGAGCTAAGAAGGCCTCTCAGCTCCAGAACACAAGGCAGTTCCACTACATCTTTGAGAAGAACAGAAGAAGAAAACACCCTCTAACCCCAGGGGCGGGGCAGGAATTCATCCTGTGACCAAAAACTTAAGTGAGGTATCAGCTACCGCTAGGGGAGAAGCAGGAAACTCCTCCCCAAGACCAACAAAGACACGAGGCTGAGGAAAGGTGTCAAGGAAAAAGGGCAGGAACTCTGAGAAGGCCCCATCCACGAGGCTCAGGCACTCAGGGCCTTCCTGAGAGGGCCTACCTACTTCAACTACGAATCTAGCACAGCAACCGCCAACTGCCACTGACCAAAAGCAAGATCACGAGCATGGAAGGAGAGCCCTCTGAGACACAGGCATGCGGGGCCTGTGGAAAGCTGGGAGCCAACCAATAACACGGAGAAAAACAGCTGGAACACCAGCTCCTGCACTGATGAAAGGATAAAAACAGCTAAAAGGAAGCTGAAACCTACAGTCAGGACGCTGAAGGTACCACCAGCAAAACCTTAACACAGCTCCACTCCGGACTAGACTGAATGGAGGCCCCATGCTAATGGCCTTGACTGAAGAAGAGATACGGCCATCATCAGGCATATATATATGTATGTATATATATATTTTTTTCCACACACACACACCCACACACGCACACATTTTTTATTTTTTTGAGACAGAGTCTTGCTCTGTTACCCAGGATGGAGTGCAGTGGCGCAACCACAGCTCATTGCAGCCTCGACTTCACAGGCTCAGGTGATCTTCCCACCCTAGCCTCCCTAGCAGCTGGGACAGCAGGTATGCACCACCACACCTGGCTAATTTTTCTATTTTTTATAGAGACAGAATTTTGCCATGTTGGCCAGGCTGGTCTATAACTCCAGGGCTCAAGGGATTCATCTGCCTCGGCCTCCCAAAGTGCTGGGATTACAGGCGTGAGCTGACAAACTCGGCCCATAAATATTATTTACTTCAGTCTATACTGGTCCTCAGATGATTCAATAAAAAATCACAACACCCAAAACAGCAAGAAAAATTATCTTGAATACTACAAAAGCAGAGCTTACAGGGAATTCTGTCGCTTTAAATGCTTAAATTAGAAAAAGAAAAAAGGTCTAAAATAAATCATTCAGACTTTAATCCTCAGAAATGGGGAAAAGAATAGCAAATTAATATATATTAGATACAAGGAAAGGAATAATAAAGAGTACAAATCAATAAAATTTAAAATGAACAAAAAGAGAAGACTCAATGAAGCCAAAAGCTAGTTATTTGAAAAGATCAATAAAATTTGTAAAAAACAACAAAAAAAATTTTAGCCAAAGTGATCAAACACTATGAAGTGCTGAAATAAAAGATAACAATAAATGGCTGTTTTAGAAAAGGTAATACTATAATAAAATAAGGAATATTACATATAAAGAGACTCAATGTTGGAGATATAAAAGATAATTTTTTTCTTTATTATTTATTATTATTTTTTTTTTGAGACAGAGTTTTGCTCTTGTCGCCCAGGCTGGAGTGCAATGGCACAATCTCGGCTGACTGAAACCTCCACCTCCTGGTTTCAAGCAATTCTCCTGCCTCAGCCTCCCGAGTAGCTGGGATTACAGGCAGACACCACCACGCCCAGCTAATTTTTGTATTTTTAGTAGAGATAGGATTTCACCATGTTGGCCACGCTGGTCTCGAACTCCTGACCTCAGGTGATCCACCCGCCTCAGCCTCCCAAAGTGCTGGGATTACAGGCGTGAGCCACTGCGCTCGGCCTTTCCTAATTTCAATTAAAAAGTTCAGCTTCTTTTGAAGCATACGAAGAATATTGGTTTTTAAAAATTGGTTCCACAAGTATTGAAAAGCTGAACAACTAAAAATATAATTTTTAATTATGAGATTCCTTCTCAAGGTATGACAATAAACCAAAAACAGCTCTAACTGAAACCAAGAGTTTGACTCTAAATAAAAATCAAAATAGGCTAATATATGATTGGGTACTCAAAGTAAATTAATGACTACCACTTTGCTAATTATTTGGCAATACAGGAAAATATTAATGAAATGCTAGCTAAACTATACAAGAAAAATAGATCTAAATTTTGGAAGCCACTTTGTCCTACAAATTTTCCTGACTTTATGCTCCATTTTTCTTCAACTGCCAAAAGAAATCACAAATACTTCAAATCTCAAGGATATGGATACCTGTCCTAACATTCTTTCTGATTTTCAAAATCATAAGACATAATCAAATATCATAATGGCTAAAAGGCCATTATGTTTTAAACTTCCTGGCAAAAATAATAAACACCAAAAAAAACCCCCAAAAAAACAAAAAAAAACTAATCCAGCTGGATGACATTTCCCCCAAAATGTTTTCTCTTTTATTTCTAATGAGGTAGGTTCTGTTAATTGTGTTAGTATTATTTCCCTTGAGATCTCAAGAAACCATGTGGTTAATTACATCTTTCTAACTTTGTTAATTTTATGCATGTTTCCTTGTAAAGGAATTATTCTTCCATAGGGTCCTTTATTAAGAGTCTAGGGAATTCTAAAATTTCTCTTAAAGAATGCAGTTGACATAATTTAACAAAGAAACCATGTGTGCCATTATATATAGGAGAATTTTTTTTTAAGTTTAGCATAATGAATCTGTATCTCTGTTAACAGGTATTGATCCAAGATAACATCACAAGCGTTTGGCAATTTAGCTTTTTTTTAGAGGTAAACTAAGCAAAAAATTCACATACCCAGGTTAGGTTTTCGGAGGTACCTCCTTTTGGTGTCTGTTTCCACATTTTCCTATACTGCCTGCACAGCTTGGTGCCCAGTGTCCTCACAATGACATCTGGATGAGGTTCCCACCATGGCAGCATCCCACCTGGGCCCACTTATGCCTGAACCTGTCCTGCCCTATCTCTCAAGCCCCCAGCTGTTATCTGCCATCACAACCTACAAATACCGCATCTCTGAAAAAGTAAGGAATATGAAGGTCAGAACAACATAATGATTTATGCTTCCTTTGTAAGACATTTTCCTTTTGACATGGGCAACTTCAGCTCCTGAGGCAAGCCAGTGGAAAGGAAATCCTGAAGTGGAAGCTTTCAATTCTATCTAATCCTACCATAAATGATTTGATTAAATGGCAACACTGCTTAGAGATTTCTAAAACACAATACTATCACTCAGAACACATAAACATAAAATGGTGAGTATATAAAGCATTTGTGGCAGAATCAAGAGATATGGACAGTTGCTTTGCATTGCCATTAAATAGCCATGCAGCTGCAATCAATTATTTCTAACTTTCATTGACTGCAACCACAATGCAAGGGGATGACAATGCAATGACTCTTCGCAAGCTAACAATAACAAGAATGTACTCTCAAACGTTGGTACAGTATAGTTTACAAAAAAGCTACCAGAATTAATTCATCCTAGAACACAAGGTCACATGACATGTATTTTTATATAGCAGAAATCAGCTAGTGGAAATGAACTTTATTAAAGCACAATTTATAATAAGACCAAGAAAAATAAAATACTTCCACTTAAATCGAACAAAGTATGTGCAAGATCTGTATGCAGAAAACCAGAAAACACTGATGAAAGAAATGAAGGACCTAAATAAAATAGAAAGATATAGGCCAGCACAGTGGCTCACGTCTGTGAATCCCAGCACTTTGGGAGGTCAAAGTGGGCAAATCACCTGAGGTCAGGAGTTCAAGACCAACCTGGCCAACAGGGTGAAACCCCATCTCTACAAAAATAGAAAAATTACCCGGGCATGGTGGCGGGTGCCTGTAATTCCAGCTACTCAGAAGACTGAGGCAGGAGAATCGCTTGAACCCAGAAGGCAGAGGTTGCAGTGAGCCAAGATTGCGCCACTGCACTCTAGCCTGGGTGACAGAGCGAGACTCTGTCTGAAAAAAAAGAAAGATATACCACATTCATGGATTGAAAGATTTGATATTGTTAAGATGTCAGTCCCTCTAAGCTGTCCTGTAGACTCAATGCAAAAAATAACTGAATACCCACATGCATTAAAAAAGTGATCCATTCTTCACACAACATTTTCAAAAATTAACTCAAAATAAATCACAGACCTTAATGTTAAATCTAAAACAATAAAACTTCTATTAAAAATAGAAGAAAATCTATGAGATCTTGAATTTGACAATGAGTTTTTAGAAACAAAAGCACAAACCATAAAACAAAACTGGTAAGTTAGATTTCATCAAAATTAAGAATTTCTGCTCTTCCAATGACATTGGTAAGAGAAGACAAATGCAAGTCACAGAATTATCACATTTTGATCTGCCTCCCAATTCATTAACAAAGTTACTGTCAAGTCATAAGAAATTCACCTCAGAGCTGAGATGTTCCCATAGATATCTGTTAGGCTCCTATATCCAATGCATCCAGAGAGATATCTTATACTTTGCATCTATATTTGATTATGTACTTTTATTTACAATTTATTTGTTGTGTATTCTTTTCAGTAGCTAGCATAACATTCAACCTTGCAACGTGTAACTGAGATGTAAGCTGCTAGGGAATCTGTTCTCAAAGGCAATCACCCTTTAAGGAAAACAATGACTGCTGAGAGCATAACTATAATCAAATTTTACTTGAAAATAGAGGCTGAAAAGCTATATGGAACTTTGTATTCCATAGAGAAACAAAGTGTTCTAAAGAAAACTAGCTTTTGATGGTCTTTTAAAAAACATTTTATTAAAGAATTTACTAAAGTGCAGGTCAGTTCTATTATCCCTTTAAATTAATTTTTTAAAGCCTAATCTTTTTAATTCAGAATAATATATATTTAAAGCATTCTATAATTACTACAAAAGTATTAATTAACAGTAGTAAGAAGCATAAGCTATCTATGAACTATAAATATAAGGTAAAAAAATCATTTTCATGGCATTCTTGAAACCATATGATGTTAGATGGGTCATAACATTAGCACTTTTCTTTGAAAACCTTATAATTACTATTCTTTTTAATTTCTAAGATGAGTATTGACTTTGTAATAAATGAGTGCAAGTTAAATTCCAAATCTGAAATAGTTTGAGTTATGCTGACCATTAGCACTAATTTAAGAAAAGACATATAGATATTAATTTAACAGTGGCTTGAATTATCTTTGTTTAATTCCTTATATAATGCTACAATTTTTCACAAGGTAAAAACACACAGAACTCACTACTTCTACCTGATTTCCAAAACTATTAAAGGATAATATAGTAAATCTCTTCTCTCAGAGGCTTTTTCAAGGAGTCCTTTTCCCGCCACTCTGCCTGCAGCCATCCATCCGCCACCTGCGCTTCCCAGCTCCTTCCTCATGCTACACCTTTCCTCCTTAACACAGAGCACCATTCTTTACACTACATATTATACTGGGGTTTGTTTGTTTGTTTGAGGCATAGGGTCTCACTTTGTTGCCCAGGCTGCAGTGCAGTAATGTGATCATAGCTCACTGTATCCTCGAAATACTAGGTTCAAGTGATCCTCTTGCCTCAGCCTCTCGAGGACCTGGCACTACAAGTATACACCATAAAGCCTGGCTAACTTTTTAATTTTTTGTAAAGACAAAGTCTCCTTATGTTGCCCAGGCTGGTTTCAAACTCCCAGCCTCAAGCAATCCTCCCATCCTGGCCTCCCAAAGCACTAGGGTTATAGGCATAAGCCACCACACCAGCCATATTTTAGTATTTTCTTCTGTTTATTGTGCATATTCCCCAAGAGATTGTAAATTCCATGAGAACCAGCATTTTGGTCTGTTTTATTCACTTTTGTATCCTCAGCAACTAGAAAAGTACGGGTACCTAATACGTGCTCAATAATTATTTGTTAAATGAAGCATTTTACACATTTATGTACCACACATAATACAGTGTATATATAAATTATTGTTTTCTTGACAACAGACATTGGAAACTGCAACATTAAAAGGTCTAAGGTAAAGAAAAAATTTACCTTTGTTTAACCTACCATTTTCCAAACATACTTTATCATGAATCACTTCTTTCACTAAGCATCTATAACAAAATAATGACTACAGAGTTAGAAACAGTGGTTTACAATCTTTTCAGTAAAAGGTTGACACCATCTTGTGCACAAGATTTCATTTCACATTAATAACTTTTACCTTTACAAGTAAGGAAGAGTCACCATAGAATTAATACAAAGTAGACAGAATCAGATATAGGTTTTACATCTTGCAACAATGGAGAAGAGAGACTGGATCAGGGAGCGAACAGAGGAGCCAATGAACAGGCCAGGAAAGGACAATACAGACCTGGGCCTGGCAGTGCCACAGAGAATAGTCAGAAGTGTGGAAAGTTTCACTGATACATGAATGGATAAAAACCTCATTCTGGGGGTGACCAGGAGCACCAGGAGTTATGGGGGTTATGAAGTAGATGATGCATTTGTGTGAACTGGGAAACATGGAAAAGATTTGAGAGAATATGACAATAGTTTTGGTTTGTATATTGATTTGGAAGAGAACAAAACATATTGAAGGAGGGAGTTCTAAACCTATATTGCCCAGAAAGAAAGTCTAGGGATGTTAAAGGGAAAGGGGAACCCAAGTTAGAACACTGGGAAAACCCAAAGTGAAAGAAAGCAAAGGAAGATCAATGGCACTCGCACAGTGGCTGGAAGGCTGGCTTACTGCTCATTTATATGGAAGCCATACCTATATGTAACGCATTTGATTGAAGAATTAAATGTTGATTTTTTACTTATTAAGCGCCGATTATATACCAGGCACTTTTCAAGGTGCCTTGGGAAACCAGTGGACAAACAAAACCCAAAGATCTATGCCCGAAGAAGAGCTAAATAACAAAAAATACAAACAATAAACAGTACAGATAACTAAATGGCACAGTGTATTAGAAAATCAATGCCATGGGGGCAAAGGGAAACAGGAGCACTGAGATGGGGGCAACAGAGTGGGCAACCAGGTGGCACTTCGAAGGCGGCATGTGAGTGGAGCCTCAGAGGAGGGGAAGAATTAGCCACATGGATGGAGAGCACTCAGTTGAGCATCAACAGAGTAAAGGAGCTAAGGAGAGAGCATGCGCCACATATTCAAGAAGGAGCAAAAAGCTCATGTGACTGCAGCCGAGTGAGTGAGGTGGGGTGTCCCGGGAGAACAGCCGGAATAGTCAGGGGCATCAGGTCATGGAGGGCCTGGAGATCACTGGAAGGTCTTTGGCTTTTCACACAGTACAACAATGTGCTGAGCACAGAAGTGACATGGCCTGCACATGCCTGAAAAAGATCAAGACTGTGATGGTGCTGAGGAGGGAGGACAGAGGGTCAGCCATTGAGCAGGAGACCTATATCAGTAATAGGAGAAGGAAGACAGTGCCAGGACCGGGGGATGCCAGGATAGATGGTGAGCAGCTGGGCTCTGAATATACTTTGAAAGTACAGATGAACACATAACCACATCTCTTCACGTGGGTGTTTCAATGTCTACTTATTTATATCAATTCTGAATTCCTCCTAAAGCCATGATAACAGAAGGCATTATACTTCATATTCCCTGAAAAAAAATAGACAATTAAAACAGCAATCATAATCTCCCTGACCTTTATAATAAAAACAACCTTCTATAATCCTTAAGACTTTGAGTTTTTCTATTACTAATTATATAATGTGAAGAAAAGAAAAAAGCTAACAAAAAATTATATAGTTTTGACAACTTTAAAGTTACTGTTATAGTAAAATGTTTATGATGAGTGCCACACTGTCTCTAAGTTTAAAAAACAGAAAACAATAAATAATGTTAAGTTGATCAGGTTTTTTTTCAGCATTCCAATTAAATAAACTGGTGAAGAAAGTGTAGGTTTATAGTCAAACACATTTCCTCCAAAGGCCATAAAAATGACAAGAAGGAATACCACCTGCTGAGTTCTGATATGTTCTTGGGAGATGGCTCAGATGGTTTCCAAAGGGAAAATTACTAGATAACTAAAGTTCGAACTCACGTGAAGGTAATTCATTAAACAAAGAGGCAACCTTTGCCATTCACAGAAGCTTCCTGTAAAGTCAGTTTACTCCTTAGTTTTCCATGAACTGTGATTAAACTAAGTCCATTCTAATTGTCAGGTGCTTTTCAAATTATTACATGCAAATAATTCGGTTTACAGTACGATACTCAGTTTACAATCTGTAAAATCTCAAAAAGAACGCTCTTTAGAGAACAAAGTTTCCCACTGAATTGTGCTTATAACTGAACGTGACTCGGTGCGTTTGGGAATACCGGACAGTAGCTATGAAACAAAATTTATCCAGAGCACTTTACTATTTCGTAAGTATTCATCTTTTTAAATATATATTCTAAGAATTAGTCAATAGGATTCATAGAAAGATGTTATATTTAACTTTTGAAATTCAATCTAAGAAATTAAATTTTTAAAAAAATGTTTTCCCTTAAAGCTGTTTTTAAAATACAAATTACACAAATATATACAGATTTCCCAATACCTTGTGGGGTAGGGGGATAATCTGTTACCCTGGAAAAAAAAAATCCTTACTTTTTCCTTTTGAAAAATTTAGAGGCCTCTGAAAAGATCTACAAAACTCCTTAAGTGCTGTTAATCTGTGGAGCTCAACAATAATTATTTAGCATCTTTTATAACCCAGACTTTACAGAAACTTATTAAAAGCAGGAGACCAAGTTTTGAACATACTAATATATGATATCACAGAAAACATTATAGCACTAACAACCACAGTTCTATGATTTTCACTACAAAAATATCAAAGCAAAATAGCTGTCAAAGGCATAAATTAAATAAATTTCAAATTGAACAGAAAATTATTTCCTATTTTTCAAAGGCACTGATTTGGAGTGATCTTAAACCTCTGGAAAAGAATTCCTCAATTTTCAAAAATTCTGAAGCCTAATTACAAGTAATTATAGCTTTTCATTTTCAACATGATGAAATAATTTGATTCTTTTTACAAGAGGTCTGGTTTAGCTCAAAATAGACAAGTGCTTCTGCACTGAGTTAGTATACAAAGACAATAAGGATCATTCTCAACAGAAAATCAGGGCTACATGTTGGCCATAAATCATAAATGTTGTATTCAAGCAAAAATAGTTTGTATGTTCTACAAGTGTGATTCATTCATTCACACAAGGGACACAAAGCTAACAGCCCATGGTTAGGCTTTGCTTTAAAATAAGAACAGTATGAAAGAGAAGAAAAAAGGAGCATTGCATAGCATCTCAAAATTCAGACATAAAGTGTTCTTCAGAGCAAAAACAGAAGAAATTCAAACATTTCTAATCCTGTTTAGTCAAAGAAACCAAACACAAACCACCCCACAGCAAATGTTAGTTTTAAATATTTAATATCAGACCTAATAGTTTGTTGTTCTAGAATAATCCTATTTCTCTGAGGAAGAAAATGGAATCCTATAAACTATAAAAGATATTATTAATTGCAAAAAATATACATAAAAGAATAACCCAAATCAAAAGCGTAAGTCTCTGACTGCCATATCCACTTTTTTACCCAGGAAAATTTGCAATGCTGCACATTTTTCTACCTTTTGCTTTATAAAGCCTTTTGCTGATGACTCACATTTCCAGTGATTTGTTATATGCTATTAGAACAAAAGCTCCATAAAACTGCTTTCTACCCTGCCCTCACACACCTGGTTACAATTACATCTTCAGAAAGCTAAACCAGTAGTTTAGCAAGGACATACTAACAACAGCTAACCAATGAACAGGCAGAAGCAAATGTTAGAGCCCAGCACCATCCACTCAAAACCAGAAAAAGAACCTGCCGCGTATCTCTTCCAGACACAAGTGTGCATACATGCACAGAAAGATCCCCCAGCACACCACAAGCATGCACACAACACACAACAAAGCGCAATCGCCCTGATGGAAAATGCGCCTGTCAGCATAAAAGTGCACCAAGCCAACCCATGAGAGATTTTTCTAACAAATGCCACTAGAAACAAGACTGAATTTGTCTTTTTTAAACTGTAAACCAAAATAAGTAAAAAACCCAGAACTGTAGATAGAAAAACAGCACAGCCATTGTAATATGTTCTTATGTTACATCAAATAAGAAAACCGACTTGGCTAGCATCCAAGATGGAATCATAACAACCAAATTCTCAGTTGCAGTAAGCTGTGACCAAAACAAAAAAGACAAACTGCTTTGATCACTTCCAGGTATCAGCTACTTACACACCTTAGAAAACTAAACTAGCCTAGAAATGTTAAACCAGGGCTGTGTGACCACACTGAAAAGCTGAAACAATTTATCATCTTTAGAAAAAGAATGATGGACATGGCACTACTACGAAGCTGAAGTACCACCCACGCCACAAGAATGCCGTAGAAAAAAGGGAGGACAATCCTGCTGCCCCGCTCTGTTGAAACCCACAGAGGACTCACCACTCCCTTGATTTTCTGACCACAATTTTCAATGCCAAGAACAGGGTCAACTGTTCCTTCAGGTAGTTACATGCTTGGTATAGAGCTAACTAACACATCCAAGGATCTTTAAAGCAACTGACTCGACATCCAGTCAAGAATACCCACAAGTTGAAATGTGTCTTTCAGTTTACTGTCCCCTTTCCATCTTTGTCAGAAAACATTAATGTTGCCATCCCAGACATAATGAACTTGGGAAGAATATTTTAGAATTTAAATCAAAGTGTCAATAATAAAGGGCTCATAATCTTAGATGAATTTCCTCTTGGTAGATGTGGCAATATAGCAGGTCCAAATACTTTTACCAACTACGGTGATTATACACGGTTCTATCATAAGAAAGGCCATTCTATATCCTTGGACTATATATTCAACATACTCCCTTTTGAATGTTTGTGATTTTAGCTAGTGGTATGATTCTGGAGCACTAACAATGCCATTAAATGATTATTTTCTTATCTAAAAGGAAAAAAAAGCAACTTTACAAAATGGGAAATTTCAAAGTACTCCATGTATATGGTAGCAATATATCTCACCATGGAAAGTAGCAAGTCCTGTCTGACAAAATATGAAAAATTCTATTTAGGATGGGAAACTTCAGAGAATAGTAAAATTATTCCAATAATAGCATATGCCATACATATGTTTCCTCAGGAAACAGCTTACAATGTAAAGACATCGTACAAATCTAAGGTCTATAACACAACATCTCAACCATATTAAAAGTTCAGAATGTATGTATCTAGAACAGGCCAGGCGCGATGGCTCAAGCCTGTAATCCCAGCACCTTGGAAGGCCAAGGTGGGAGGATCACTTGAGGCCAGAAGTTTGAGACTAGCCTGGGCAACACAGTGAAGTCCTGTCTCTACCAAAAATTTAAAACTTAGCCAGGTGTGTGGCAGGCACTGGT
Organism: Homo sapiens; assembly: GCF_000001405.40. Taxonomy (NCBI): domain Eukaryota; kingdom Metazoa; phylum Chordata; class Mammalia; order Primates; family Hominidae; genus Homo; species Homo sapiens. The sequence goes on along the minus strand of NC_000018.10, from coordinate 74,681,382 downwards.
AATCCCAGCTACTTGGGAAGCTGGGGCAGGAAGATCATTTAAGCATTTAGGCGCAGGAGTTCAAGGCTGCAGTGAGCTATGATCACACCACTGAACTTCAGCCTGGGTGACAGAGGGAGACACTATCTCATTTAAAATAAAAAAAAAAATCAGTCAAGAAAAACAGATGTAACAATGAATAAAGAGGGCAGAGGTGCTGTCATCTTTACCTTAGGGGTTCCTCTGGCTTTGTCCTACCCCTCACCCAAAGCGAAATGAAATCTCCTCTTTCTTCTTGTCAGAACCTTTATGTACATTTCTCTAACAGCACCTGCCTGGTATTATAGTTATTGGTTCATGGTGAACTTCTGTCTCTCCACATTTTTATTTCCGGGGCCAAGCACAGTGCTAAAGATATAATCAATGCTCTACTGACTGTCAATATGTACTGAATTTAAATTGTTAAAATTTTGAATTTTATACAGTTTATACTATGACCATCTAAAATCATTTAAAAGGGTGAGCACTGAAAACCCACGTTTCTATTTTAAATATCCAGTATAAACTAATATTTTTACTTTCGTATATTTAAGATTATTAAATTTCAACTGAATTTTTTTTATTAGTTCTGGAAATAAAAAGAAAGGCCAGGGAGATGAGGTAAACACTAAGAGATACAGGTTCAGCCTTCAGATTCCCTTCAAAATTATAAGAAAAATACTACATCTACTCAAGGTTGTAAATTTGACGTTAAGCCTTCATTCCTATAAACCAGCTTCAACCATCACTCCTAACCACACATACAAAAAAACAGAGGGGCGGGAGTTGTATTTGATGGTCAAAGAAAATAAACCGCATACAATAAGCACTTTTCACTTTCTATAACCACTAAAACTTTGTGTTTATCAGTTTTGAGAAGACATCCTCGGTGACTTTAGAAAACACCTTCAATTTTTTTCCCTGATTTGGGCTTGTTTGGGGGTTCTATTTTTTTTTTTTTTTTAAGGCAAGGTCTCACCCAGGCTGGAGTGCAGTGGCGCAATCATGGCTCACTGCAGCCTCTACCTCCTGGGATTAAGTGATTCTCTCCCCTCAGCCTCCAGAGTAGCTGCGACTACAAGTGTGTGCCACAATACCTGGCTAATTTTGTTTTTGTTTTTTGGTTTTTTCTTTTTTGTAGACACGAGGTTTCCCCATGTTGCCCAGGCTGGTCTTGAACTCCTTGGCTCAATGGATCTGCCCACCTCAACCTCCCAAAGTTCTGGGATTACAGGTGTTAGCCACCACCCCAGCCTGATTTTCTGGCTTATCATGAATGAAAATGTAAATGAGAAAAACATGTATGCTGAATGGTTTGTCTGAAAAGCTTTATCAATGAAAATTCTCAACTACATTGTACACGTAATATGAAAAGTAAAAGAAACAGGACTCACATTCATAATAACGGGTCCATCTAGAAAGCCACAACACTGGTCAAAAACAAACCCTTCCCAAGGGAGATGAAAGCATAACAGGGCAAGTGCCATGCCACATGAAGAACCACTGATGATCTGAAACATACAATCTATAAAACAGACAACTGTGGGGTTAGAGTGGGTAACAACCAACTTCAAGTATTCACAAGATCATCCTACAGAAGAGGAATTATGTTTGTCCTGTGTAACTCCTGAGTGTACACACCAAAAGATATATGATGGGGAGATGCAAAGAAGCAACTGTGTGTGAGGAAAAACTATCAGAAATAATTGAAAAACAGAATGGACTGCCTTAAGAGGTAACAAATTCCTAATCTAGCAAAAACTAAGCAGATACTTGAGGATACAGAAGAAGAGATTATGTCACCATTAAAAGAAACCTCAGTGGTCTCTGAGAAACCTTTCAATTATTTTTCAATGCATGCAATGAATAAGCACTTACTGAATGCCCACTACATGCCAGCAACTGCTCTAGTGATTGAAGACACAAATGAGAATCAGACTTCACCCCGTACAGAAGCATACACTTGCTGACAAGATGTGTACAGTACTAGAAAGAGAACGGGATCATGTTGGACAAGTCCAGTTTGAAATGCAGTAAGACATCACAATATAAACACTGAGTAGGTAAAACAAATGGGCCTAAAGCTCAGACAAGGACAGTAGGACTATGCCACTGAAACTTTTAAGCGTTAGTCATTTCTGGATGGCAATTACGTTTTTCAGAAAACTAGAACTAGAATTAACGTTTCCTGTGCCCTTGGTTCTAATACAATTTTTAGTCAATCAGTTAATGAGGTCATTGCAAAGACTATTCTTTTAGCTGACAATAAAAGAGGGTATGGTTTTTTTAACCGCTGAGTCCCCACACAGATTATTTCCCCATCTCCTACTCTACCCATCATTTTCCAGAACTTGGTGTAAACAGGCTTTGAAATTTTCTCCTCTGCATCTCTCGGTGGGCCCATTTTACTATATAGCTTACCAACAGCACTTGTTTAAGTATTCCTAAACACAATCACCTGGTCTGCCATCCTGTAAATACATATAATATTTATATCTACTTTAGTTTGTATTCACCCAACTTCTCATCCACCAAAAGAAAGGTAACTTTCTATTCTACTTAACATTTGAAAACTGTATTTCACAATTAAGTCAGATTTCCAAAATACTGGAATTTGTGTAAGTTTAAATTGCACAAGAGCTTCTGTTAATTTCAAACGAGGCAATTTGGACCAACCCTCGTGCTGAGGACAGCTAGAAACACTGAAGAAACTATTTAAAATGTGTGACTGAAGACACTGAAGAGTTAACAAAAAGGTGAGAAATTATGTGGCCAGGATCTGGGCAAAATCAAAGAAAATCATGAAGATAAACTGACGTTTGAACTGCCTTTTTCCTAAGGGTTCTGCCACTTCAGAGAGGACAGCCAGCAGGCTGATGGGTACCTCTAACAGCCATCAGGGCCTAGGTGCGCAGAAAATGGGGTTGCAGGCAGGCCAATGTGGGGGCCTGGAAGGAGAGGAAAGGGAGAAGCTATCCTAAGAGCCCAATGTACATTAGGTTGAAACCCAAAGAGATGTACTCTAAGAGTAAAAGGGTAATGCAGAAGTAAATGGGCCTTCAAAGTCCTGCCCAGCTTCAAACTGTACTAATATATGCAATACAGTTGAGATGATCCTAAACTGCTAATACCCCCAGCTACTTGGCAGAAGTTAACATAAATCCTCACTGGAAGAAGATCTCAAGTTATTACTGTAATGATTCTGCTAACAAAATGTCCATGACATTAAAAAAATAAATAACGAGGCCGAGTGCAGTGGCTCACGCCTGTAATCCCAGCACTTTGGGAGGCCAAGGTGGGTGGATCACCTGAGGTCAGGAGTTCAAGATGAGCATGGCCAACATAGTGAAATCCCATCTTTACTAAAAATACAAAAATTAGCCAGGCATGGTGGCATGTGCCTGTAGTCCCAGCTACTTGGGAGGCTGAGGCATAAGGATCATTTGAACCCAAGAGGCAGAGGTTGCAGTGAGCCAAAATCGGCCACTGCACTCCAGCCTAGGCAACAGAGAGAAACTCCGTCTCGAATAAATAAATGGCCAGCATAAAATGAGAGAAAAAAAATCAACAAAACTCAAGAGAAACAACAGGCAATAGAAATGGACCCAAAGGGGCTTCAATATTGGAACTATCAAAAACAAACTTTAAAATAACAATTTTAAAAAAGTTCAAGGACTGAGATTGGTAAACTGTATCTGAAAAGAAACAGAGGGTAAGTATTTTAAGTTTTGCCTAAAGTATTTTAGGTCTCTGCGACAACTATGTAAATTCTAGGTGCAGAGATCTGTATCCAGCAAACATATCATTCAAAAGGAAGTTGAGGGGAAAAAAAAAGAAAATACTATCAGACAAATATAAAACATGAGATAAACTCATCACCCAAGGAACATATAAATCAAAATATAAAAGAATATTTTGAGGGCAGAAGGAATTCTATCACAAATACCTCAAAGATTTAGAATAAATTAAAAGATGACCCCGTAGGGCGGCTCAAGCCTGTAATCCCAGCACCTTCTGAGGCCAAGGTGGGTGGATCACTTGAAGTCAGGAGTTCGAGACCGGCCCTGCCAACATGGTGAAACCCCATGTCTACAAAAAATACAGAAATTAACCTGGTGTGCAGGCACATGCCTGTGGTCCCAGCTACTCAAAAGGCTGAGGCACAAGAATTGCTTGAGCCCAGGAGGCGGAGGATGCAGTGAGCCAAGATTGCACCACTGTGCTCCACCCTGGGTGACACAGTGAGACTCCATCTCAAAAAAGAAAAATAGAAGAAAGTAAAGGACAAACACATGGGTAAATGTAAATGAATATTACCAGAAAAAACAACAGTCCCAGCTGCAGGGGTCCAAAATCTCCAAGATAAAAAGGTGGGGAAAGGATGAAGAGGAGAGGGCAGAAGGAGGGAAGACGGGGGCAGTGGCCTTGTTGCCTTGCTCAGTCAGCCTCTGCTCCCGAGTGCCATGAAGGTAACTGTTTTGTCCATTTTACTAAACTGTGGAAAAGACAAAAAGACAGTTTCTTGGATAAACTGATAATCTTTCAGATTACGCTATAAGCCCTCACAAGAGTGTCAGTGGCTTGGAAAAATACCCCAAAGACATAGTGAATCATTATTTTTAAAAAATACTGGCCGGGCACAGTGGCTCACGTCTGTAATCCCAGCATTCTGGGAGGCCAAGGCGGGCAGATCACGAGGTCAGGAGATCGAGACCATCCTGGCTAACACGGTGAAACCCCGTCTCTACTAAAAATACAAAATTACCCGGGCACGGTGGTGGGCGCCTGTAGTCCCAGCTACTCGGGAGGTTGAGGCAGGAGAATGGCGTGAACCCGGGAGGCGGAGCTTGCAGTGAGCCGAGATCCCGCCACTGCACTCCAGCCTGGGTGACAGAGCGAGACTCCGTCTCAAAAAAAAAAAAAAAAATGCTATATCACCCATTCTCTTGGTGGCAAAGAAAACAATATTCTAGGCCGGGACACAGTGGCTCATGCCTATAATCCTAGCACTTTGGAAGGAGAAGGCAGGCGGATTGCCTGAGCTCAGGAGTTTGAGACCAGCCTGGGCAACACAGTGAAACCCTGTCTCTACTAAAACACAAAAAATTAGCCGGGCGTGGCAGCATGCATCTGTAATCCCAGCTACTCAGGAGGCTGAGGCTGAGGAATCGTTTGAACCCAGGAGGTGGAGTTTGCAGTGAGCCGAGATCGTGCCACTGTACTCCAGCCTGGGTGACAGAGCAAGATTCCATCTCCAAAAAAAAAAAATTCTAAGAGGAAGCACAGGCATCAAAAAAATGTAAGTTGAAAAGTGATTCAGAAGTAGTAGAACTTGAATGTAGACTTGTTTTATTTTCTTTTTATACATGCAGAAGCATAATATATTTTTAAACTACCTAAATGATGTGTAAAACAACTTTTTTTATATATAAAATAAAAATTCTAATAGGAAAACAACAACAATGAAGGCTTTAAACGTCTATAGGTTTGAAAGGTCTACAGAGTTAAATGCTTGATAACAATGGTGTAGTCACTGGGAGGGAAATGAGTGGGATTCAAGTGTTCAAGATCCTCGAATTGTCGGAAAGAGGGTAAAAGTACCACTTAATATTAAACATGGATAAGTCAAGGATAATGGTGTAATTGCTAGGGTAACCATTAAAACCAAAAAGGGTATATAACTTCAAAGCTAACAGCGTAACAGGAACTAAAATCAGAAAAGCTATGCAATAAAAGGCAAAAAAGGAAAGACAGCACAGAAAAGACAGAAAGCTTTCTCTCCTTTTTACACGTCCTCTTACAATACTCTGCTTTATATTACTTTTCTTTGTTTGACTCTACTACTTATTTTAGATGCCTGTCTCTGTGTGTTCTTCCCAATATCTGGAACACATAAAAAATACATTCATTTATTCATTCGCCACAAACAGTAAGTGAAGCTTACTATGAGGGAGGATACTGCTTAAGAGGCTAAAGAAAGGAAAATGCACAAAGTTCTTACTCTTAAGGAACTTACACTCAAGTGGGAGAGACTGACAATAAAGAAGGAAATAAATATACAAAGTACTTTTTCGGTAAGTGATCTATGAAGAAACATAAGAGGTTAAGTGATGAGTGGCTGGTCAAGAAAAGGCAACTGAACCTACACCCAAATGTTAACAAAGAGCCAGCAGAGACAGAGAAAGCATAAGTATAAAGGCCCCTCAGGCAGAAACATGCTTGGCAACTTCAAGGGACAGATAAGGCCAACAGAGTAGTGAGCAGTTAGTGAGTAGAGAGTGACAGGAAATGCAAGAAAAGTTTTGGGACACAAATAAGGGATTCTATTTGGACCATATTAAGTTTGAGACATCTTCAGAAAACACAAACCAACATTTCAAATAAGCAATAAAATGCACAAGTCTGGTGCCCAAAGAAAAAAACTCAAGACTAGAGATATACATTTGGTGATTAGTCACAGAGACACTTTTTAAAGCCATGTTATTAATGGACACTACCCAGCGAGGGGGTATGGATCAGAAATTACCTAACTACAACATTCAGCCAAATCCTGTCAGCCACCCATCTTCGTAAGCAGAAACATAGCCACACTAACTCATTTACACATTGCCTATTGCTGTTTCACTAGAGGAATAGAGCTATCTGGCCTTTGTCAGAAAAGTTTACTAATCCCTGGTGTAAGCAGACAAGGGATGGATCCCAGAGCCAAGCCCTGGGGTAGTTCAACATTTACAAGTTAGGTAGAGATAGTGGTAGAGGTAGTGAAGAAGCAGAAAATAAGACTACAAAGAGAGATATAATAAACAAAACCAAAATAATACCAGGATACTATGGTGTCAGAGAAGCCATGAAAAAAGTATTTTAAGGACAAAGTGGGCAAAGGTATTGATCATTGACCACTTGATAACAGAGAATTTGGTAAGATGAAGATATTTGGTAATGTGTTAATATATTTTCAGAGAACAGTGGGCTGTAAACCAGCTACAGGATGACAGAGGTAGGGACCTGATCTGCAAACTTTGACAACTTTCATGATGTCAGCACTCCCAATTTCAAGCTATAAAGTCCTGGATCTCTAACAAGTGGTTCTCACGAGCCACCACAGCCATATGCTCCAGCTCCAGCACAGCACTGGTTTCAGCGGAGTGGCAGGCAAAGGCCTGAGAAAGGACACATTAAGTGGTGAGGGAGTGAAGGTAGCAACCATGGAAGGGTTAAAAACAAAAGCCTTAGATTTTCCAGAAATAAACAAAACTAGTTAAATCTCCATATTAATGAGACGAAGCATCAAAACTTAAAATAATCGTAAAATGCATCATACTTAGTTCTTCATTAAATCCATGTGTAACAGAAGATTTTTAGCTTCTGTGAGCATTGCTTATACCTTTAAAACTATAGGTACATATTTTCTAGAATACATTAATAGCTTCTTTAAATGGTAGGTCAGAGGGCTTTGATGATATATGTAAATATTTAGAACCATGTGTTTTAACTAACAATTTACCTATGTACGCTGTTGTAAAACTTTAAGTAAATAACAATGAATCATAGATACAAAGGTGAATACAAAATGCAGAGATATTTAAATTACAGTGAAACAAAGAAATGTGTGTGTGTGTGCACTTGTGTATGTTTAACACAGAATTTTTCTACTAAAGCTAACCCTTTAATAAATACCTACTGACAAGCTATCATCCCAAAGAAATGCATGGGTGATCTAAATGTGAAAAGCACAGTCTGTGGGAGGCAGTACAATGAACCCCAAAGATGTCCACATCACAGTATCCACAGTCTGTGAATACGCTTCCTCACAGCACACAAAAGGGATTCTGCAGAGGCGATTAAATTAAGGATCTTGCTCTTCTGCGGCCCCAGATTATCCTAGCAGACACAATGTAATCACAAGGGTCCTTATGAGTGAAAGAGGGAAGAGTAGGGTCACAACCAGAGAGATTTCAGGGGACCCTAGCCAATGAGCACAAACGCCTGGACAAGCTGGAAAGGGCAAGGAAGTGGACTGAGCCCTAGAGCTCCAGAAGAAACCAACTCTGTTGACGCCTTGATTCCTACTGGTGTTAAAATCGTGAAACTGACTTCAGAATTCTGTCCTCCAGAACTATAACATAATAAACTTGTGTTGTTTAAGGCCTAAGTTTGTGGTCATCTGGTTCAGCAGCAGCAGGAAACTGATACACTGCCTTATGCCATCCTGTCAGTACCAATAAGGCATAGAGTCTTCACTTACTGTCAATTGAATGCAGAAAGCAAATACCTGAAATAATTTAAATGGGATAATTTAAGAGATAGCAGCCATTGTAATACCCAGCACCTCCCAGTAAATACTAACTTCGTCTCTTCCAATGCATGCAGAATAGCCACACAAAAAAAGTCAGTAACACATATTAGGAAAGAAGGTAAGAATCCATCATAATTTCTGTTACTACTCTTCTCATACCATAATCTAACAGAGGCTTGATCGAAGAACATAATGGGTAGGGAGCACAAATTAAATGTCTGTATATTTTCATTTTTTTATTGCAGGTATTATAGGTTCATTAAAAGTGATCAAAACATGTTTTAAAAAATATTTACTTTCCCAAAGTTTTTTCTCCTTTAAGAAAGCTATTCAGCATTATTCACAACAGCCAAGCAGTAGAAGCAACCCAAGGACCCAAGGATGAGCAGATAAAAACAGTGCTCCAATGAACAGACGAACAGTGCTCCAATGAATAAACAGTGCTCCAATGAACAGAAAAACAGTGCTCCAACAAACAGACAAACAGTGCTCCAATGAACAAACAGTGCTCCAATGAACAAACAGTGCTCCAATGAACAAACGGTGCTCCAACGAACAGAGACACAGTGCTCCAACGAACAGACAAACGGTGCTCCAATGAACAAACAGTGCTCCAATGAACAGACAAACAGTGCTCCAACGGACAAACAGTGCTCCAACAAACAAACACTGCTCCAATGAACAAACAGTGCTCCAACGAACAGACACATTTCAAGAGAAGACGTACATGCAGCCAACAAGCATGTTAAAAAAAAGCTCAGTATCACTGATCATTAGAGAAATGCAAATAAAAACCACAATGAGATTCCATCTCACATCAGTCAAATAACTGTATTAAACAGTCAAAAAATAACAGATGCTGGGGAGGTTGCAGAGAAAAAGGAATACTTATACACTGTTGGGAGTGTGAGTTAGTTCAACCATTGTGGAAAGCAGTGTGGCAATTCCTCAAAGAGCTAAAATCAGCACTACCCCCCAGCAATCCCATCACTAGGTATATACCCAGAGGACTATAAACCACTCTACCATAAAGACACATGCCCACAAATGTTCACTGCAGCACCATTCACAATAACAAAGACATGGAATCAACCTAGATGCCCATGGGTGACAGACTGGATAAAGAAAACGTGTACATCTACACCAGAATTTTTCTACTAAAGCTAACCCTTTAATAAATACGTACTGACAAGCTATGGTCCCAAAGAAATGCATGGGTGATCTAAATGTGACAAGCACACTGTCTGTGGGAGGCAGTACAATGAACCCCCAAAGGTGTCCACATCACAGTGCCCAGAACCTGTGAATATGCTTCCTCACAGCACACAAAAGGGATTTTGTGGCATACTATGCAGCAATAAAAAAGAATGAGATCATGTATGTCCTTTGTGGGTACATGGATGGAGCTGGAGGCTATTATCCTTAGCAAACTAACGCAGCAGGAACAGAAAACCCAATGCTGCATGTTCTCACTTATAAGTGAAAGCTAAATGATGAGAACTCAGGAACACAAAAAAAGGAACAAAAGACATTGGGGGCCTACCTGAGGGTGGAGGGTGGGAGGAGGGAGAGGAACAGAAAAAATACTACTGTTGGGTACTAGGTTTAATACCAGAGTGATAATATGTACAACAAACCCCCGTGACATGAGTTTAACTATATAACACACCTTCACATGTACCCCGTAACCTAAAAGTTAAAAATATAAAAATAACTTACCTGTAATGGCCAAAAAAAACAAAAAAAAACAGTGGTCCATCCGTACAACAGAATATTATTCTGCCTTAAAAAGAAAAGAAATTCTGACACACAGACCAACCTTAAAGAGATCCCATTAAGTGAAATACACCAGTCACAAAAGTACAAATACTGTATGGCTCCACTTCCATGAGGCACCTAGAATTGACAAATGTATGGAAAAAGAAAATAGAGAACAGTGACTGCCAGTGTCTGTGGGGAGGTGGGGACGGGCACTCAGGGCTTATCGGGTACAGAGTTTCAGTTGTTCAAGATAAAAAGAGTTCTGGAGATGGACAGTGGTGATGACTGCACAATAATGGGAACGTACTTAGTGCAACCGCACACTCAAAAATGGTCAAGATGGGCTCACAGCGGTGGCTCACGCCTGTAATCCCAGCAAGCTGGGAAGCAGAAATGAAAGGAATGCTTAAGCCCAGGAGTCTGAGACCAGCCTGGGCAACACAGCAAAACCCTATCTCTATGAAAAATTTAAAAATTAGCTGGATGTGGTGGCACATGCCTATAGTCCCAGCTACTTAGGAGGCTGAGGCAGGACCCAGGAGTTAAAGGCTGCAGCGAGCTATGATCATGCCCCCGTGCTCCAGCCTAAGCAACACACACAGATTCTGTCTCAAAAATAAAACATGGTAAAGATGATAAATTTTATGTTATGCATCTTTTACCATAATTAAATATATTTAAAAACCCTCTATTTCCTTATCCTAAGTCACAGCAGAATCATAACAGGACTCAATAATTATTTTTTGGAATAGTTTTTTATTCCTTAGAGATATAAACATCTACTTAGAAGAACCATGTATTCACTAGTCTTAAAAGCTGTGAATTTTTGTTCTTTTCAAGCAGTTGCTTATTCGAATCATATCATCCATGCAGATTCATCCCAAGCCTATCCTAATGAGTGCTGGAGATGGGATCTAACCTAAGATCTTTCAGACATCCAATTTTGTGCTCTTATTTATATGCTACATTAAATCATCTAACTTCCACCAATTTTTTAAGAAAATAATGATGCGATTCTTTAAACTAAATAAACATGTTAATCTAAGTCCAAGAGCATCCTGGTCTTAACTGGGGGTTATAAAAACACAGAATCCTAGAATCTTTGTGTTGGAAAAAATCTTAATGTCATCCAGTCCAACTGTCAGGAACTCCCTCAAAAATATTCCCCAATGCCTGGCACGGTGATCAGACTCTGGTGATGTGAACATGTTACTTGGTTCCTATCACTGTAGTCCTGGGACAGAATAAAGACTACATGTCAGACTACAGAGAACATCAGAAATTAGGCTGTGGGAGAAGATCCCACTAAGCCTGAAGCTATCGCTCTCTCACAGAATGGGCTCTCCTCAGAGAGGGTTGAGGAAAAAGGACAGGGAGTCTACGGGTTTTGTCAATTAAATTATCTAAAAACTGTGTTTGAGCCTCAAAAAAGAGAATTCTACTTTGCACAATTCTTTAGATGTTTTTCAATTATTTTTGTAACAACTTTACTTCTTTTTTTCCCCACAAGGAGCGTTCTGAAAATTCTACTCTAACCAGGCTAACCTGAGAGGACTAAAAACAGAGATGCAGTTCGTCCAGGTCCAGGTCAGCACTTCACAGAGATGAGCACGTGCCACAGGCCAGGCACACAAGCTGCAGGCTCAGCTGGAGGAGGTGGAGAGCCAGAGAAACACAGAAACACTGAGGCACCATTGTCCAACCCCTGGTCAATAACTAACTTCCAAGTAGTTACTAAGTACCAGGCATATGATGAAACAGCAAACAAAACAACAAATGGTCTCTACACTGGATGCCCCCAAAAGGAGAGCCTGAGAGAAAGGCAAACACCGTGATTGGGAACGCTACCCTAAGAATGGAGGTGGAGGGGTGGGGGAGTACCTTCCCACCACCGCTGGTAGTGGATCCATAGGACCACTGAGGAAGAAAGGAAGGAGGCAGAGGAAAGCAGGAAGGAGAGAGGAGCAGCCCTTCTCCATGGGGTCCTACCCCATATGCAGGGAAGGCCCCATGGGAAGGCCCCTGGTCAGAAAGCCGAGTCCTCTGACCAGGCTTTCTGTCTACACTGGCACATGGCTGACCAAAGCCAATGAGAAACCTGTGGGCACAAGCGTGACAGCAAAGGATGTGAAGGCTTAGAGGTGAGATCTGCCTTCCTGGAGCTTAGAGGTCAGTGAGAACTGTGGATGAGGACGCCAACCACCTGAGTCAAGGGTTCAGGAAGTAGGAAAGACAACAGAGAGACAGTGATGACGGGGCTCCTCACAAGGCAGCTCCAGTGTGCCTGGGTAGAGGGAACGTGTGCTCCCGGAACAAGCATGGAATAAGATCATGGCCAGTGGAGCTAAGCACACCAGAACGTGACACGCATGAGAACAGAGACTTAGGTTTTTTTTAATGATATATCCTAAACACATCAAACACTCAGAACTAAAATGAATGGATAATGATACATACTAAGCCAACACAGAAACACCTAAGTTCTATGAAACTGAAAATACATCAAGAATCTTCAGCAAAGCCCTCAAAAAGATACTTCACATGCAGAGAAATCAACATGAAAAAAGTCATTAACAACGTATAAAGATCCAATATTCATGCATGACACTGTCTACTTCAACTGTAAATCTCATCCATTCTAAGTCTATAATAAGTGCTAGGTGCTTAAAATGTGCTAAACAAATACCAGTTTATTAAAAACAAGGAAATTACATTTGGGAGCAGTAAGAAAAACGGTCTCGACAAAGCAGAAAAGCCATTTTGGAAATTCTGAGTATAAATACAGATGTAGAAACACTCTGAACACTGGGTTATACACGCAAACTTTAAAGGCTGTGGAGACGTAACTGTGATGAACAGAACAATTCATTAGGTATAAACTTCAAGAAAATAGAAATTATTTATTTTTTAGTACAAGCTGAGTATCCCTTCAGATTTCATATGTTTTCCAGTTTCGGAATATTTGTACTTACATAATAAGATATATCGGTATCTTGGAAATAGGACACAAGTCTAAACAGGAAATTCACTTATGTTTCACAAATACCTATACACATAGCCTGAAGCCAACTTCACACATTATGCAAAGTAAATTTGGGCACGAAACAAAGTTTGGACAGTGTCTGGACTGCAACCAGTCCAGCGAAGTTAGGTGGAAAATGTTCCCCGGGTGGTGTCATATTGGCACTCAGAAACCTTCCGATTTTGGAGCATTTCGGACTTCAGGTTCTTGGGTTAGGGATGCTCTACCCATACGGATGAACTGGTCAGCTCCAAAGTACAGGAAGGAACACAGATGCTAACTGCAAGGAACAAGGTAAGCACTCTCCTAAACTCTGCTTCAGTGAATTTCTCAAAGTAAACAAAATTGTAAAAAATAACACATTCAAGGTAAAAAAAAAATCTTTCAGTTTAGAGCACTTAAACCATGATTTGTTTCTATCAAAAACAAAGTAACTCCCTAAAACTGAAAATGGCCCCTTCAGATGTATGTGTACTATGATCCTTTCTCGCTACCCTTTGTAACTATATGGAAGCCTGCATGTCCCATGTACCTGGCCTATTACCACAGTTCATAAAAGGGTTTGACCACACCTTGTCAAGACGACCTTAGATGGGGAGACCTATGGGCTTTACAATTGGAGTAGAATCCCGGCCTCAATGAGCTACAAGCACACTTGGTCATGTCGCTTATCCTAAGTCTGAGTTTCCATTCTTCTAATCTAGAGATAGTAGTGCCCACCATATGCAGCTGCTGTGAGGATTAAGTGCAGTAACACATATAAGAGACGAGTACGCAACCTGACATCAGAAATGCTCAGTAAAAGCAACAGCTGCTGCTGTCATTGTTACCATAAACTGTCTATCATTAAAAGCACTGTACCTGGGACTGTACCTGTGACTATGATTTTCATTTTGTTATTAAAGCTGTATGTACTATTGGAAACTGGAGGCCAATTAAAATTGGCAGAATATTTTAGACCTACTGTAACACACAAATGAAAAGCACTTTAGTTTCTGCAGTCAAAGATCGGCAATGGCAAAAGCACAGTTTGAGTGACCACCAACAGTCAGCACACCGGACTCCACACACTGGAAACAGACGAGGAGCAGAGGCAGCAGCCCCAGCACAGACGCAGGTGGAGAAGGGTGTGACGAGAGCTGGACACAGGTAGAGGGTGCAGAAACAGTTCAAGACATTTGAACTTGTGAGGCACCAACAGATCATCAAGTGACAAGATGTGATGGACAAAGTAGAGAAAGTAGGAAAGACTGAGACAACTGAGACACAGCTGCCCACAAAAGCAGAAAGCAGAACCCTGGGGAAAAGATGAAGGCGGGGCGGACAACTGCCTCAACTCAGTCTGAAGCAATACGAGACTCACACAGAAATATTCTGTGACCAAAAACAGGACCTCTACACAGCTCAGTGTGTTGGGAAACAGGGTTCCAACATACAATTTAGCATCTTTATGAAGCCAGTTCCCAGATTTATGATATGTAATTCACAGGAAACCCAACATTCAGAAACCGCATTTCACACCTGAGCCTCAATGCCGAGACTTCTGACCTACAGAACTGGGTGCGTGGTAAGCTGTCAGCTTGTGGGAGTTTGTTACCCAGCAAGAGCTAACTAATTAACACACCACCAAATTATCAACCCACTAGGAAGGGAGAATGAAGGCATTTCCAGACATACTCAGTCTCAAGGTGCTTACTTCCTGTGTGCCTATTCTGAACTCACTGAAGGATAGTTCCATCCAAAGGAGGTAAACCAAGGATCAAAACAAAGCAGAGCGGGAGGATACAGGAGACAGGAGCTCCAGACACGGAAGGCAACTGGGCTCCATGGAGGCAGTGTGATAAGCAAGGGAGGGAATAAGGCTTTCGTCACCACAAGTCCCACGTGGCTTTCTTTTCCTCTCTACCTGAACACAGAGTGCCCAGGAACCTCGGGCCCACCCACTTCTCTGTCCCCGGCCTGTCTGGACTCTTACATCCTGCCCTCCCCTCCACTGGCTGCTGCCTGTAGAAGCTCAAGACATTCACCTGGCCCACAGAAATGTCCTGCTCCTACCTAATCTGCAAGCTGATGGTAGCCAATGGCGAGTCTGAAAACGGGGCACACAGGGCACACAGAGCGCCCTCACCCTCCAACCTATGCTTCTGCGGGGCGTGCACACAGCAGTCAGGCTGAGGCTCCCACTGCACCACGTCACCATGCACCTTCGGATCCTGCTCTGGAACTTGTCTGAGCTGGCTTCCATTCTCAGGCAAGCCAGGGCCAGGTCACCACTAGGGCTCTTCAAGGTACTTCCTCCTGGGAGCCTTCATTTAACGGTGGCAACGTTGCCCTCTCTTTAAACATTATGTATGTGCTTGCTACTCAGATTCTCAAAACTAAATACCATAATTTACAAATATATACCTAGATGGTTAGCTGTGAAGAAAACCAAGTGAATGATTAATACATAAGAAGTCACACAGTTGTTACAGGTGAGAAGAAAAAGAAAGGTGAGTCTGGGTGGCAGCATGTGGGGGCTTCCAAGGCGTAGAACGGCGCACTTCCTGAAGTGCACTGTGGGTACACAGGTGTCAGTTTATTTTTCTCTAAGCAGTACACGGTTTGCTTATGCATCATATATCACAACAAAAAATTCAAAATTGACATTACATTAAGAAGATGGCAGGGACTATAAGGTGCCTACCAATTTTATTCTCCCCTTCCTTTCTAGTAACTGAAACTTGCGCAATGTGACCAGCCAAAACACGTATTTCTCATCACCACTGTAACTTGTACTCAGCTCTGGTCAATGAACTGTAATCCAAAGTATTGTATGGGACTCTCACATGGGCTCTTTTAAGGGAGGAAGGTGATCGCTTCCCTGCCCCACCACCATGCTCTCAGCCAAGGACACAGATACAATAGCTGGTTCCCCAGCAGCTACCTTGGACCATGAGATAATGTGGAAAGTGAAGGCCCTGCTCTGAGGGCAGTGGGGCAGAAAGATGGCTAATGATCTCTAATAACACTAAGAAGCACCAGACCAACTCTGAGTAACTCCACAATTATTTTATGGGAGCTAGAAATAAATGTACACTAAAGCCACTTTACATCAGTATTTCTGCTCTGTGTAGCCAAACTAACACTAACAGAGGAAAAACTTAAAAATACAATAGGCAGGAAAAAAATGAATTTACTGTTCACTATTTGCTTAGCAAAGTGCTAAATAATTCAAATCCTTTTATGATTTACTCCTTGAACAATCTCCTTATTGCGGAGGAGAAAGCAGAGGTGAAACCTGGTGAAATAAAGTGGCTGGGATCTTATAATTACATGAAATTGGCAGAACCCGAACTCAAGCCTAGGCTCAATAAACCGAGGTCTCCTGATCTTTCTACACCAAAATTGAAATTTTGCACTCAATCAACCAGGCTCCTTTCTGTGAACAGGGCATGATCTTGTCTATTCCTACTGCCTGGTGCTAATGAGCAGCAACACACAGATACGCAGCGCCAAAAACAGATGCACTGGGATTCTATGCTATAAGAGAGGGTAAGAAATGCAGAAAGTAAAAAAAAAGAGAGAGAAAGAGAGAGAGAGACAGAGAGACAGCTGGAGGAGCAGCAGAAGGGGAAAAAGCAATCACCAATACCAGGATTTTTAAGGCTATTTCTTCAACTTATTAAGCACTATTTTAGAAATCAGCCATTGGATTTAAAGTCACTTTTTTAAAGTGACTAAAATACTTCATGTGTGAAGTGGTTTGGGCATAGAAAAATGTCCTTTTGTTTGTTTGTTTGTTTGTTTTTGAGACGGAGTCTCACTCCGTCGCCCAGGCTGGAGTGCAGTGGCACAATCTCGGCTCACTGCAACCTCCGCCTCCCTGGTTCAAGTGATTCCCCTTCCTCAGCCTCCCTAGTAGCTGGGACTACAGGCACCTGCCACCACGGCTAATGTTTTATTTTCAGTATAGATGGGGTTTCACCATGTTGGCCAGGCTGGCCTCGAGCTCCTGACCTCAGGTGATCCACTCGCCTCGGCCTCCCGAAGTGCTGATTATAGGCATGAGCCACCACGCCCAGCCAAAAAATGTCCTTTCTTTTAAGAGACTGTGGTGATAGCTGTCGTTGGTTAAATGGTATTCACTGGAACAGACGCAGTGTATAGCCTGCTGCAGGCCCCAAAGCTGGTCTTCTCACACACTACTTGGCCATGCAATTCCCAGATCTGGGAATGGCGAGCTGCACCTGGCCAACTTGTCCTCCTGCACTTCTTGCTAACAGCTTCTAATCTGGCCTCTGCACAAACATTTCCAGTTATAGTTTGTGGCACAGCATCTTATGGTTCAAAAGTTCCTGCTATGTGGAACTGCAGGCATCAGCGTCTCTCTACCTTCCGGGTCCAGGCCGTAGTTTGGTCATCTGGAAATTTACGTTTCCTTCTTGCCTATGACAGGCCTTTAAAGTCTCAAAGATGCAATGACGGTGTGTACCTCCGTTTGTCTAATCCTCTCGGTCCTCTCTAAAATCTCTCAATAGATCTTCATCTGATGTGAGTTCTTCCAGCATCTTGTCACCTTCTTGGTACGGTCTCTAATTAGCTGAAGTTCTTATGACATTCCAAGAATTGGCTGAATTATTTTAGGCATTATCTGAACACAGCAAAATGCAGCAGGCCTTTAAACTCCTGAAATATTATCCTAAATGCGCAGTTTGTTATCGTGAAATTTCCCAGTTCCCCACACGTAATATGTGGTGTCGAGCCGGGACCTGCGTTCTATTCTTAATTGATGTTCTGAGTTGAAATATAGGACCTTACATTTACTCTTTCCTTAGTTTCGGCCCCAAATTTTTCTAAAAATAATTTTAAATCACAATGGTCATCTACTCTATGATATATCCCTCCCAGGTTTCTGTCATTAAAAATGTGATAAACTTGCCTTTTATGTCCTTATCCCAGACATTGATAATACTTTTACTAAAAAATGAAACCACTACTGTAGGTAACTTTCAATACAGAAGTGTTATTTGGTTTTAGATGTGGTACACATAAATAAGAGCTACCCGGGGACAAGCATCTAAAATGGACGTTCCCAAGCACGATGCCCTTATGCCTTTATAAGGTCCCCCATTCATTGTAACTTAAGTAAAAACTAGACTGTTTTTACTTAAAAAAAAACTAGGTTGCTTTCTAGAGGTTACAATGGTTGCTTTCCTGGGCACAGGTGATACAAAAAATGCTCTCCCCAAACACAAGCTTCCACCTTGTGTATCTCAATATCTATATATGCAGAGCTTCCGTCTGCCTTCTACAAACAATACAAGAATGTAGATGTTACAGAAATACAGTTGCAATTCACCTGGCAGTTTGATGCGGCATACTCACACATGACAACACATTGATTTTACTTCTACCTCCATGCAGACATCTATGTAAAGAAATCCATTAGGCAGACAGTTCTCATCTCTATTGACTGACAGAGTGACAATTGAATACTTTTCACCTTCTAAAGTGACTGACAGTTAGACACTTAAACAAGCCTTCAAGTTGCAATAATAGTATGAAACACTTTCAATTATCTGAATCAAACAAATCCATGATCCTACTGGTTGAATGCATTTTTCTGTCTGCTGCTATGCCTGGCTTGGTTTACACTATTATTTGGATAATTTTGTTCCTATTACAAGAGTGTTTTTCTGAAAGAGTAAACTCACTTTATATGTGATGATTTATTTTTAAAATATTAGAGGTTTCTATAAACATTTAAAACATGGGTAAATATACAGCCTAGCTAAAACCTACTTATTTCTCCTTATGCTTATGAACTTATTTCAAGCCTAATGTTGTATTTTTAAAGCATTTCACATGGCAATCGGCTCTTGCACTCCAACATCCATTTTATATAAAGATTTCATGAATGTAAGTGATAGTATAATGATAACAGAGGGATTAAAATGCAAAATCACTTATAATATTTTGTCTACTTATTTTATATTCCTAGTCTTATGGATCATATCACTCTACTAGAAAGTCAGAGTACAATTTAACAAGTTAAAGCCCTTTCTGAGTTACCATTTAAATGTGCATATTCATTAACAACAACAAAATCGTATGTGAGAAGCATGCAGCAAACAGAAAAGGTTTCACAGAATCAGTGAATGAATAGGGTCCAGGAAAAATAAATATACCTCACAAAAATGCAAAGACTCGATGGCATAATGCTTTGCTGCATTCCAGTTGATCATACCAAAAAAAAAAAAAAATCCCATCTTTATGATTTAAGCACAGACACCGCATGGCAGGCACTCAGCTGGATCAGAGTGCACGCGAATGTCCCACAACTGAGGAGACAGAAGAAATGCAAGAGGCAGGGCCCATCAAGAACTACTTCAAACAAATACGGCCACGAAAAGGGGGCTGGCCTTTTACATTAAACAGCTATATCAAAATGGCCGCAGCACTCTCAGCCAAATTTAGCATGAGGAGTAAAGAGATCTAAAAATAAAACATGTTTTCACACATTTTCCCTAGGCATATAGCTTAGTAGCTTTGAATATTTAGTAAACTTTTCTCTAAAATAGTTTTTGTTTTATTTAAAATGGAGGCAGGTGACAAAGAAACTATAGAATAATCTCATCTTTTCAAATTACTCCAACTTTTCAATTAAGGAGCAACTGCTGTTTAGCCTAAAAAAATGTGCTTTTGAGAAATGCAGCTAACTTGGAAATGTGGAAACACTTAAATTTAAACAGATATCATTAATAAACATAAAAATTATATTTCTCATTAAAATCACATTTGGCATTTCTACTAAAATATGAAAACCAAGTAATGAATTTTTTAATGATTTGTATGTGATTAAATATAAAAGAGAAATAACATATATATAAAATGCTTATAAATATATTATATATATATATATAATTATTTTATTATTCAGGGACTTGGCCTTTCTTCTTAAAGTCAGGTTACTAAGCTTACAGCCTTTTAGAAGTCAATACTATTTGAAGGTGCCAATACAGAATTTACTGTGTGTACAACATAAAATGACTCTGTGCAAAGAGACTGACTATTGCAGGCTACACAGCACATTGATTTTTTGAAAAGGAATGCTGCCTGTATTTAACCTAACAGTGTAACCCTGTTGTACTACATGGAAAGGGATCATGCATATTGATTTCTTTATTACAATTCTTCTTGTGATCAGTAAACATTCACAAAACACTCTTATCTCAAAGAAAATCGTTTTGTAAAAAATTCACTACGTAGATACTGGATTTTCAGGTGAATTCTATGACATCCGCTTTTAATAGATAATAGCATGAGGTGGTGAGACAGCTTGTTTCTTAACTTTCAGTTGCCTTTTTTCAGTCTCCTAAAATAATGTGCATTATTGGTAAATCTGCAAGAATTATCAGCTCCACCAGATTAATTTTTAAAAATGAAGTTCTTGAAACAGCTTTATTATTTTAATATTTCAAATTAAAATAGGTAAAGAAAGATTCATTGCCCTTTCAAAATAACTTCTTAAAATAATTTTTCCCAGTGTGTCTATAATCTCCCCTAATAACATTTTAGGAGTCATTGCTTGCTATTTCTAAAAGAACACATGCAAACTTATATGCTGTGCTTTTGTGTATCCACAATGATGAACTTAAAACATAGGAAAGGAATATGAATTTTATATTGCTTTCTTTGGAGACAATTAAACTTCTAAGTCTGCTAACGTGTAGTTTCTAGAATCGATGTAAGCAATTAAAAAACTGCAACAAAAATGTTTTGTGAGGCATAATTACTATAAGGTCACTAGATATTACTTGGAGTCAGTTTAGTTTATCACATTACGACATGACAGGACGTGAGGCAAAAATTATAAATTCCTTCCCTAAATCTGTCCTTTTCTGATCTAGATGGATGAAGAATAATTAACTCTTAATTATTCAGATGACTTCAAGGCAGTTTTAGGATTCAGTAAAGATTGCAGTCATTTTAACCAAGAAAAGCAGTCTCCCATCATTTATCAAATCTTGCAACTTGACCAATGATGAATAAAAAAAATCTATGTTTACCCACAGCCCTAACTGCTACCTTAGAGGTTGTTAAGCAACAAATTTCCTTTAAACTCTACCATATGCAAATCATCAGATGCAATTTGCATTTTAAAGTATTTAACTCTACATATTTATTGGATTTTGAGGCCATGCTGATCATTGATTTATGTGCTTCTGGCAATCATATTTCCATATTTGTATGATTTTGATGACAGTAATAATTCAAATATGCAGAAAGTTGTTCTTTGAACAATATCTTTAATTACGTCCTCAAAGCATCATTGTTTTGCCCGGTGTCCTGACAAAAAGGGTTTGAAATAAGAAATGGCATAATAATCCAAAATGCATAGAAATATATTTGTCATTTTCTGTATACTACCAAATGCACAGAAGTGACTTTTCACGTTAACCAATCCTTAACCTTAAAAAGGCTACAAAGCCCAGAAAACTTGTACCTAAATACTTTTATTAATACTGACACACTTTCACGACAAATTCAATCACAGCTCATAACATTTCTGTTCAAAATGCAAAACCTGCCCCATTTACTTTGCCGCTAACTCAAAAAGTTTTGCTGCTGTGTCTTTTTACTGAAGTTGTCACAAATTATGTGCTTTCTTATGAAAGCTATCAAGAAATATAATCATTAAAAGAGTCACAAATGTTTTATCTATTTGTTTCTCAAGCACAATCACAGACCATAGCTCCAGTAACCATTGTCAGGGTAATTTTAAGATGATTCTACCATTCAATTATATAAACAAACTTCTTAGAATATTCAGATATATACAAATTTAGCCACGAATTTTAGCTAAGTAAAACTGAAGTCAAAGGTCAATTTCAAAATTAAACATAAATGTATCTTTTTTACCTCATAATTGTTTTCAATTTCATAAATAGATATATTTTATATGCATAGATTCTGTAATCACTAGCATCCTACATGGTGTTCAACCAGCTCTACATAGGTTAAGCATTTTTAATTAAAATGAAATGGATTTATCTCATCAAACACAAAAGAATTTTCAAAGATAAAAATGAAATCATCAAAATCCAATCTTTGAAAAATAAAAATCTAAACCACAATGATATATTTACGTATTATGAAATCAGAAAGCAAGCCCAAAACACACCAGTATTAAGTTATCTATGTAGTTCATCTATTTCAAAAAATCCATGAGCTTTAAATACCCAGAGAATGTAAATCTGGGGGAGAATACCAATGTCCACTCACATGTCCCTAGATGGAATATAAAAAAAGTGAAAACACACCATGTGTATACAATAGATTTTAATTACACAATCTGAAGAATATATATATAGATAGATATATAATGTTTTAAATTCCTTCAGAGATTTACATTAATAGTTTAGAGAAAGCTAAAATATATATTTACGGATATTTAAGCCAAAGTTAGTGACTATCATAGTTGAATAAATGTCTACTTGGTTTTATGAGAACACTCCAAGCAAAAAATCACGTAACATCAACCCAAGTCAGACACTCCTAAATATATTTTAATTAGGAAGAAACAATTCAGGAATATCCCCAATCTTAGAGTTATTCTAATTAAAACAAAAGTAGGTTGAAACAGTTTGTAAAGAATTATTTTATGGTTATTTTTAGATACATCATTTCTAGTAATCATATTGAGCATTTTACACATCACAGTTTTTCTTTATTTTAAACCCAACCCAGTATTCATCTAGGTAGTCACACTCCCTCTAAGAGTTCTTTACCCATTAAACCTGTAAAATTTGCCATCCTATATCTATGTAAATAGTAGTTAGGAAAATATATGACATCTACTGAACAACTTTAAAAAATAAAGACGAAGGCCAGGCGCGGTGGCACACACCTGTAATCCCACACTTTGGGAGGCCGAGGTGGGCAGATCACGAGGTCAGGAGTTCAAGACCAGCCTGGCCAACATGGTGAAACCCTGTCTCTACTAAAAATACAAAAATTAGCTGGGCATGGTGGCGCATTCCTGTAATCCCAGCTGCTCGGGAGGCTGAGGCAGGAGAATTGCTTGAACCGGAACCCGGGAGGCGGAGGTTGCAGTGAGCTGAGATCATGCCACTGCACTCCAGCCTGGGCTACAGAGCGAGGCTCCGTCTCAAAAAATAAATAAATAAATAAATAAAGACAACTGCTGCTTCTATTGTAGTGATGTTCAATTGGAGAAGGATGTAAGATAGCAATAATATTTTCAGTTCCACATGAAGAAGAGAAGGGAAAGGAAGGGAGAGGAAGAAAGGGGGAAAGGAGGGAAAGGAAAGAGGAGGAAATGGAAAGAGAAAAAAGAAAGGAGGGAGAAGAAGAAGAAGAAGAAGAAGAAGAAGAAGAAAGGAAAAGGAGAAGTAGAGAGCAAGAGGCTGAGAAGACAGGGAGGAAGGAGAGGATGGGGAGGAATTCCAGGGACACTCCCTGACTCCCCCTCGTGGTCACGCAAGCAGCAGCACTGCAGACCTCCCAGGGTGGACGACAGTATTTGATGGAACATGGAACAAGTACAGCGTAAACACTGCTGCTGCAGTGGGGTATAAGAAGTGATTCAGACAATGCCGAGGAAAGAAAGCCAGGAACCAACGTGGAGGTGAACACTTTACAGCCAGTTAGTTCTCTCTCAGCTCTCATCTGTATAGTTGAGCATACACCATCGCAAAGATCAATGAGGTAGGAGAGCCCATCCATTAATACCTGTACACAACAGCAGGGCTACAGGAGACGAATGGTTAAGTAACCAGGTTTATCACATCAAATCTCACGCTCAAAGCAGTTTCCCTTTTCACTCTCTCTTTTTTTCCCTACACAATAATGCATTTTCTGGACAAACAGAAAATGACACAAATATGTGTATTATGCCATTAATCTGTTTTTAAGAAAGATGAGTCAGAAAATTCAGCAGTGAAATCACCTGATTTTAAATCTATTTAAGACTCCTGTGTAAATTATACATACTATACAAAATTTTCCTTCTACTATCATTTTTTCATAATTATACAAAAAATATTTCAAGAAATTACCCTCAATTTTAGTTTCCACGGGCTTGAACTAAATCAAGAAAACTGTGCCTTCCACTGTAGATACAAACAACTATGGAAAAATAATACGTAAGCAAACAGGAAGACTACACAGACACTTAAATTAAAAAAAAAAAAAAAAACTAGTTCAACACTTGGCTGGAATTACTTTATATTAGTAAAATAAAAACACACCTACAAACTCAATAGGGAGAAAAATAAAATGTTCATTCAAAGGAAGTATATCACAGTAATAAGCAATACAACACAGTATTAAGCACAGTAATAAGCAATACAGGATAACAACAATGGCATTTATTCATAAAACTTAAATTATTAAATTCACCTAAAGGGATATGTCAAATACATTAAGTGATGGGATTTTTTAATCTGCCTGATTACATAAATATCAAAGTATAAAAATCCTATTCTTGGTAAATAATCTATACATTACTCAACAATCTTCCTCACTCAGCTACATTTGATCCTAATTCTCTGCTTCCCTTTCTGTGGTTCATCAGGTGCTACAGGGACTCATTACTGTAGATCTCCTGCCCTGTCCCTTAATTGCCCTCTAGGCACTATCCTTGTAATCACTGAAATGTTCTTAGCCTGGCCAGGTGCTCCCTAGGGCATCTCATACATCTCCATGGTTTAAGAATCAAAGTATACAATCAGTATGTCCAGGTTCGTGACGCCAGAGGGGACAGGACTAATATTGTTTGCATTATTAAAATCTGTGCTCCTTGATCCTTTTGTAAACTTACATTGCACAGTCTCAGGGTGGGGTCAAAAATCCTTTGTCCTTTAAGGTCTTCAACAAAAAAAGGATTTTCTTTTAATGTGTATAAATGTATGTATGTACGTATGTATGTATGTGAACGCTAACATATACCCCCAAAAAATGAACTGCACACCAAAAAATCCCTCACATTAATATGTTAGTGTCTTAGAAAAATAAATCAGTTATTTTTATGTAAAGTAACCTAACTAAAGTTTTGAATTGTAAGTCCTTTGATTCACAAAGATGCATCTGAATATTTCAACTATCCTTTAACAAATGTGTGAGTAAAATTTCTTTTAATTAGTTACAATTGTGGCCCATTTCCTAATCTGCCTCTATTATAATGATAAATGTATACAGAAGCAGCAATAAAAAATACAAAAGTAATTCATTTGTCTTCAAGAAATTATAAAATTTTTATACAAATTATAAATATAAAATTCTCCTAGAATCTTAGCATTATTTTTATAATTTATATAGTTGAGCAAAAATGCTTATTAATAATAGAATAAGCAGTTGTAGCCAGCCATATAAATTGGCAGTTGATTTTAAAAGGATCTAATATTGCAGTCTCATCGTATCACACAAAACCGACGTTTTCATTTGTAAAATAAAACAAGCTAAACCTTGAACCGACTGATTGTACCAATATCTGCAGGACATAAAAATCACATCAGTTTTATACACGTGAGCATGAACAGATGCATGTGTGTGCACTCACACCCACACACCTCAAATAAAGAAAAACAAATATTCACTGAAAGTAGATAGACAAATTACATAGTAGTCTGAGGAGAGGGGAAAATGTTTAGCCCCTTTCCAATTTTTTGTTGCATGCAAAACCCACACATACACAATAAATTCAGAATCATTTACTCAGACATCATACAGTTATATTTATGAATAAGGGATAAGAGTCAATACTGGTACTTATCATCCATGCTATGCGTGCAAGTGATTTCTATAATCTAGTGGATAGATACCAGTCCAGTTGCAAGGCAGATTTTAAGTACTCCATAAGGTAATGTATATTTTTTCAAATAATAAATTTGTATCCATATTATTTTAACTTGATTAAATTATGTTCTAAAATAGGTGTGGATCCAGATTAGTGAAGGACATATATACTAATATATATGTATATTTGTGTGTTGCATTTGAAATAATGCTTAGTAGAAGCCATGAAACTTAGCCAACACAAGTGTTAATGACTCACAGTGTTTCAACTTAAAGGCTAAAATAAAATGACTGAATTTAGAGATGCAGTAACTTACAGAATATATTAAGGATTCTTATAATAATGCATTTTCTACACAGTTTAATAATTAAAAATATTTGTCACATAATATAGAAATTTTAAGAGTAAATTATTTGGAACAAACTAAAATAAATAATGGCATTATCAGACATTGATCAAAGAGGAAAAAGTAAAATACCACTTTTTAGTCATTTTTAAAATACGTTCTTTAAAAAATAACATTAGATGACTAAGCACGTGAAATAAGAAAAATGTACAGGGCAACTCATTTATAGTAATTCAACCTTCATCTTCTTTTTTAGTTACTGTAAAAAATCTATTACAACTTCAATTTGGTAGTGAACTATAGCCATCTACTGGAAATGAACAGTTAAAGCAAATGTTTAATATGTTTCTAAGAAACCAGTATTCTTTGTGCTTAATATAGCAGACCAGAAAAATGAACAATCTTACATATAAGATAAATTTAATTTGTTATATCAGCCTCATGATCTCAAATTTGTAAAGATATATTATGTAGTAGTTTAACATGTTATTTTTAATATAAATTTTCTACTTATAGTTTTCTATCATTAAGAAAATTTCTTGGTCTCTTATCCTACTTTTCCAAAGTCTCACATTCTTAAATCATGTAGCTACACAAATTCAAAAATTACTAAAAGTTTTAAGTTAAATTAGCTGGCAAGTGAGTTCCTTTAGTTACCAAATTATAAACTAGAGGTATAACCACAGTGTTTGCACTATATTTTTCAGTTTGGCACTGAAAGAATTTTCATAGAAATGAAATCAAAGAAATTTGTTTAAAGTCTGGCCAAAACATTGCCTTTATTTTTCTGTCAGAAAAACCATTAAAAATAATAATTCTACTTAAATGCCAGAGGTGCTGCCATGTTTACTGCCTTAATCAGATTAGAGGGAGACTAATAGGACTAACTATACCTACTGGTAAATAATAAGGTCATTCTTGATGTCAAGAAATTAAAATATTATCCTGTATTTTATACTTCCTCAAATGGTCCTTCAATAACAAATTTCTAATAGTATGCCTACTACCAATTTCTCTTTTTTAGTAGAAATGATCAGCAGCAGAATTATTCCTTGAATTATCAAGACCTACGATTGTCAATGCAACGATTTCATGTCTGTTATTGCTAATGTAAAACTAAATATTTTGAAGTATTGATACTTAAAAGTCTGTAATTGAGCACTCATTAAAATTATATCGATGGACATAAATTTCACTCAAAAAAAGGAGTCCAATGAATAATATATTAGCATGTTCATGATAACACATAAGCCAACAATGTCAATTCATTTTTTTCTAAAAAATAGCTAAAATCATCATTTTATTTCAAATAGCATACATCATTTCAATAAGTTATCATAAGGAAACACTAAGTGTGCATAATTACGTTAGTTTTTGATAATCTACTGATGCTTTAAATAATGTATAAGCATGAGCTTTTTTCCAACATGTTAGTTTGTAGTATCGCTATTTTGTAAAAGACATTACTGAAATTGAAACTAATCACTATGAATCAATATATGAAGATTCAATAAATATAAGCATATCGATACATGTTAAATATATTTAGCATTTAATTGCTAAAAACCCATTGTCCCTATACTAAAGATCTGAGTCAAAAATAGATTCAACTTTTATGGTTAGTAATATTTCACAATAGTTCTGCAAATATATATTAATAATATACTGAGATTACAAAATTATAATTTTATAAACCATAGACATAAAAAGGCCCATCATTTTCTAGGTGTTTAAACCTAAGTTACTATTACTAACTTCAGTTGGCAAATGGCAGGTTTAATGGACACAATATTCTTTTGTTACTCAAAATATAGACAACTGAGAATATGACGCTTAAATAAACTTTTAAAGAGATTCAACTTGAAATCCCTGCAACTAAAACAGCATAATCTACAATAGCCAAACAGAAAACTTCATAGCAACTAGATATTTTGATTGGAAAACCATATATCCAAGAGAACTGCAATGACATCAATTTCCTTACCACAGACATCTATGGCTATCTTGATAGGCTTAATTTGGTTCAACAAAATGTCACATCACACAAACCATGTTCAGTGAATTCTACAAAATCTAAATACAGAACATAGGGTGTGGAGTCAAATATAAATTGTTTAATAAATTTCAAATCTCTAGAATTTTCCGTTTTTCAACCAATCCACATCTAGCAAGCTTTGCTAATAACCTCCCTTGTTTTTATGGAACATGTCCAGTCATAGCTTATATGACTGATTTGAAATGCAAGCTTAAATTTATTCCAAACTCACTAATGATCAGCTATAAACACCTAACATACCCTATATGTGAGAGGTGACTGAAACTGAGAAAATGTAATTTACCGAAGGAGAAACTAAACTGTGTTATGTGCATTGGTTCTGACTTAGGAAAGTTTTGCCAATAGTTCTTTGTTTTGATTTTTCAGACCAAGGGAGGAAGCACCTCGGGAAGTTGTAATATGAAACTAATGGAGAAAAATATAGCACCCACCCCTGAAAACCTTTTGTATTGTTTCAATCACAAAACTTACCCCAGTAGAAGTGTTAGAGTAACATAATATTGCCCTCTGCTGGTCCTTCATGATTTTTACATCTAACTGCCTTAGTTTAAGTTCTCAGCATGGGGGGAAAATATAAGCAATATTCATGTAATAAGCAAAAACAAATAATAAAGATTAAAATACCGTAAGTTCCACAGTAACGTTTCCA
Source organism: Homo sapiens (assembly GCF_000001405.40). NCBI lineage: Eukaryota > Metazoa > Chordata > Mammalia > Primates > Hominidae > Homo > Homo sapiens. The sequence goes on along the minus strand of NC_000018.10, from coordinate 74,652,432 downwards.
TGATATATATTTTTATTTTATATTTAGTTTAAACAGGAAAAGGCTACGATGTATTTTGAAATTGCTCGATGAATAAAAACCCTAGCAAGTATTAAAACCCTTTATTTCTAGAAATATAATCATACTGCTGTCTTCCAACAATCAAATGTGTTTTAGATAATGATAGGAAACAGAAATATGCTGAATATTTTGGCAACGCTATAAAAAGGTACTTAACTTTGATCTTTAGATATTTTTCTGCTGTAATTTTAAGTGATTTCCTACATTATAGCTCTGAATAATATTTTCAAAAGCCTCTTTAAAAGGGTAGAAAAAAGGGGGACTATACTGTACTTGAATGGAAAAGCTGCTCTACTTGATGATATCAAATTCTTGAGCAAACTTTCCATGAAGTCATCTTTACCTACAGGAAGTCAATTAAAATCTGACAGGAGAGATTAAGGGCTCTGTGACAGATTTCACTGGTCTGTACTCAGTATAGACACAGCAATGCTATAACATTGAAGTTACAATGAATATTTAACAATCCAACGACTAACTACTCCAGCAGAGTTTTCAAAATAATGTGATGTCCCTATTTGTTAGAGCAAGTTCACTCTGGCATCAATTAAATCATGAACTGTCATCTTGATTGCTCTCTTTGTTGAGGGACAGCACATTTCCATCTAAGGATCACCTCGGCTTTATATCTCTGCAAGACAATTCATAATTCTGAGCAGCAGAATGAATGCACAAATTACATTCTTCAACCTTTTACTCCCACTAAATCTTTCCTTTTTTCCACTTTGCTGAGCCTGAATATTTTATTCCTCCATCAAATATGCATCCCATTAATTAAGTTAAATTACTTCTGACTGCCAAATATTCTCTGTCGATGACTGTCAACAGAAAATACATGGCTGTGAACTTCTAATGACACAGTCTCGCTTAAACATGAGTTACAACCTTCACGCAGGCATCTACAGGCAAATTATCGGCCTCTTCTTCAAAACCGGGCTGAAATTAAATGCTGGTTTCTTTTTCTTCAGCTTTTAACAAGTACACAATAGATGACACTCGTACTTGACAAAGCAAGTACTGCAATTTTAATTATATACCTTTTCCTCATCTTTTAATTGCTGTTGTTAATCAGTCATTAACTTCTTCCCAAAGTGCAAGATTCTTAAATCTCCTTCAAAACATTTCGGCTCAATAAATTCCATCGCTCTTCATAACTAACATATAATTTTGTCTATTTTTAAAACTGTCATTTTCCAAACAGGGTATTTTTAATGTGCTCTTTAAGGATGACAGTAACAGGGTTTTAATCATAACTTGCATAAAATTATCACTCTCTAACACATCAAGACTAAAACAACCCAGAAAGACTTAAATGGGTTGTTTAAGAATAATTTTGTAACATAAACACCAAAATTTCTATCTTTACCCTTGAGCTACAGTCCCACCAAGCTAAGGGGGGAAATATTATATTTATATATAGATAGATAGATAGATAGACACACACACACATATATAGCAATTTCTTGCCCCCTCCACTACAGAAATGGAAATGTAGTTCTCAATAATTTATTATGCTCTCTATCACAGTATAATCATTAGTGCAAAAATATTTAATTACAGTGAAACTGTTATGACATTACTATAAAGCCAGTAAATTTTTTTCTACACCTTAAGATAATGTGTTCTTTGGGGTAACAAACAATATTCCCGTGGCCCACCCCTTCCATGAATACTTCAAAAATGCCACCTAGGCCCTATGTAAGTGTTCTCTGTCTCTCTCACAAAGAGAACCTGCAAAGTCTGTGAGTTTGCCTGTTTCATACATGAGCCCACCCTAAAGTGTATGACCAAGTGCAGACCCCTGTCAACCAAACTACCTAGAAAGAGTGACTAACAGGATGTCTGCTGAACTACACCAACACAGCAGTCATCAACCTAACTTGTCTGTGGATGCAGAAAGGTGCTCCGTTTCTCTCAATGTTTACAAGTCTCTAAATCTCAATGGGGCTTCTTTTGAAGTACTGCAGCAATTCAAAACAAAGAAATTGTCAGTCTTTGCATCCCTTAAAGTGACTAGGCAGGAGTGCTACATGATGCAGACTAAGTAAGCACCAACAATTGTAAACGATACCATGCACAGAGACCATATAGTCCATCAGATACTAGCTGAAAAGGAACTTTTCAGCTAAGAACTAAGAGACAGCAGGGAGGGGTGGCAGGGGAAATAAAATTATTCTGCCAATGGGCACTAGTCAAACAGACTATGACAAAGACATTTTCGATTATTTGTTCCTAATACAAAATAAAGTGAAATGCTATTTTTGACAATCCAGCTGATTTTAGATATAATTCACATTGCCCATGTTCTATCATCTTAAGGAAAAGAGAAAACAGTTGCCTCACAATGAATACCCAAATTGCTTGTGTATCTTCATCACTTAATAGTTAATTCTATCCTTTGATAGAAGTGACCATCTAAACTCAAAAGGAATTATAATAGATTCACCACTGTTGGTTACTGAAACTAGAGTTCCCACGTTTGGCACTCAGAAAATGTTTGAAAATGAATGGACGAATGTTGATCAATTAATTAACTTTGCTGCTTAAACCTGTGTCCATTATTTCCCTTGTTAAAAAGAATGGTAGCTAAAAATAGTGAGACTGAAAAGTTTAAGAGCTACATTAAAGCTAATTAGAATGCCAGTGGGATAAAATAGAAACAGCCCTGACCCGAGAGTCACAAGTCCTGGGTTCTTGTCTCCATTTGTGAAAAGTCACTTAAGCTCTTGACCCAAATTTCTTTACCTGTCCACTAGATGGATTGGACCAGGCAACAGTGTAAGTTCTAAAACCCTATTTTTAAAATAAATTTTAGTGGTGAATACTAAAATGTCTTTAATATTTAAACACATTCCAATTTTTCAGACTAGCACAAATTTATGTTGTGAAGCATTTGACTATCAATGTCCCTAGCCACAATGTAAAAAATCATACTTATTTTCTAATATTATAATGATAATTACCAGATGTGTTGACATAAGACCACTTTCACCTATTTCACTTACAGCAGCACTTCTAAAATAGACTAGAGACCATCTTACATTTAGCCAGATTTTATAAGAATTTTCCAGTACCCCATTAACACATGTAATGGTGACAGCGTAATTATGATGCAAATTAACACTTTATTGGTCCTTCAAAAACAACCATCCCTTGAGCCCAGCTCAATATATTCTTATAGTACCTCAGCAGTAAATAGGACTTTTTAAAATTGAGTGGAAATAGCAAACCAAAAATAACTTTCTAAAAATTTGTATATCTAGATAGTAGCATATTCTACAGTGCTTGAAACTGCTATTTCTCAGTACTTTGCTACTTAGACAACAGACTTTGGTATACTAATGCTAAGGCAGGGGAAAGAGGAGACAGGGTCTCAGAAGAAAAGTGACAGGGGATCAAGGGTGCGGAGGGAGAACACTCCAGAAACACAGACCACGGAAGCGATTAGAAACAAGACAAGTACCCCAGGACTAAGATGTAGGAAAGTAAGTAGATTACTACACAGTACATACTTTTTAAAAATTAATGGTTTCCTGTCCCAACTGAAATTGCCCATCCAGAGGATCAAGTATGGAAACAATTACAGCATCTGGTACCATGGTATTAGTTACATGTGGACATAGGTAGCACGGCTACGTAACTGCATATGTCCTCTTAATTATTATTTGGAACTATGCTGCATTAAGTTATATGGATCAGTTATCAACCTGTTTTCATTACAATTGTCCAAAATCAATAGCACCTTTAATTAAAATTATAAATAGTGAAATTCTCTTAAAATAATTCTCCCTGACCAATTCCCATGCCCCTTGATTCTGAAGCGGTAACTCACTTCCCACCAGGCTTTCCACTTCTCTCTTCACTGCCTACACACAGTCCAGAAAACTGGGAAGAAAGACAAGCGAAAAAACGAGTTGATGGAAAGCAGAGGGAAAGGCCAGCATTCAACACCTCAGCATGGCCCAGCTCTGTGACCTGACCCCTGCCCACCTCACCCAATTGTCCCTGGAACTGTCCACCTGGCTTCACAATCCAGCCTCCAGAAGTCTTGACTGCCCTGTAGTTCGTGCACATCCCGCACGCCATGGTTGATCCTGCTGCAACCCCCGCCTGGAATGGGCTGCCCCTGCTAATCTGCCTAACTTCCACTTGCTGCATATCAAATGTTACCAGCCCAAGGAAGTGTTTTCTGAAGCAGCTAGGGAGACTTGGTATTTCTTGACCTAAGCTTTCTCCATCTGAGGCAGGTGTCGTTTTGACCTTTTTAACCCTAAAGACTAACACAGTGCTGGCATATACTGACATCCAACAGGTGTTTGTTTAATCCTCACTTCCCCCAGTTAGTCACATACACTTCAGAAATTGCCTGCAGTGCTCTTCCAAATCTCTGTACTTCCCCTCATGTTCGCTCTGTTAAAAACGTCCAAATGTGCCTTGTGAATGGCCCCTCATCCTTTAAGACCCAACTCAAAGATAACCCTCCTGTGAGAAAAGATTTTCCTTCTGCTCCTCAGCAGAGCTCGTCCTCCCAGCCTTGTGTTCTCACTCAGCCTTGCTCCTTCTCCTAGAGTGGCTTCCGCAACACAGACAGCCCGGGCACCACCTTGTCACCATGCCCACACACAAAAAAGAAAACACGAGGATCTGCCAAATGAGAAATCATAAACAAATAATAAATCAGCAGTTATGCCTCCCTTCTATCTGCATTTCTCATACCTCCTTCTCATCCAGCTCTTGTGAAAAGAAACAGCAAAAGTACCCACAAAGTAAAGGACTGTAAGAAACAGAACAGGGAGAGGAAGGTTAACAAGAAAAAAAAATACGGAACAGGCAAAGGAAATCAGGAGAATGGCTACCCACCTAATATTCTACTGTGGGGATCAGGAAGGTTACAGAATCCTGAGACTCTACAAGAAGATTTTTTTTTTAGAGACGGGGTCCCGCTCTGTTGCCCAGGCTGGAGGGCAGTGGCACCATCATAGCTCACTGTAGCCTCAAACTCCTGGGCTCGGAAGAGCTTCCCTCTGCAGCCCCTCAAACAGCTGGAACTACAGAAATGCACCACCACACACAGCTAATTATTTTTATTTTTTGTAAAGACAGGGTCTCCCTATGTTGCTCAGGCTGATCTCAAATTCCTGGGCTCAAGCGATTCTCCCACCTCAGCCTCCCAAAGTGCTGGGATTACAGGCATGAGCCACCACATCCAGCCATCACAATTGCATTTTAAAATCACAAGGAAGCCACTTTAAAAAAAAAAGAAGAAGAAGAAGCAACGAGTTAAGTCACTAGAACATGATTGTTTCACTGGAAAAGACTTTAGACACAGAAGCCAATGTTTTCAACTACTACACCAAGAAATGATAATATTTAGTTTATTTCTATTTTGTTATAGGTTGATCATACTTACTGGCCATGGAATACATCTACGACCCCACCCTTCTGTGGCAAAAATTTTAAAAACCACTACCACAGAAAAATAAACCAGGATATAATGGAGACAAGAGCTGTCCTTCCCCTGTGAGGAGGAGCTGGGGGCTGCCTCAGTTTCCACTCTGCTGTCCTAACACCCCAGCACTCTCCCGGCTTCACCAAACAGTTCACTGGAAAATACACGAGGATGATATCTGAGAAAACAAGTTTTATATGTGAATAGTATAACCAAGATCACTCCTAGGCTTTCCCATAATAAAGTCATTTGTACAGTTTTAAAAATCGTAAATGTTCATTCAGTACATAAAAGGTATCTCAAGGATTCTAACATCAGAGGAATACACAAATAATGTTAATTTTTTGTTCCTAACTGAGGTAGAGAGACAGCAATCATCACATAGCATTTTTAAAATTTCAAGCTAAAGACAAAAATATTCAACAAAAAATATTAAAATATTATATGGATAAAATATATAACGTATCATTTACAATGGGAGAGCATTTTAATGTTAATCTAAATATTTTTTACAAAACTGAGAGATGTTGCACTTTATACTGTTATAAGCATAATTCATGCCACATTATAGAATAAACATTTCCTATCTATATCTCTTTAACCAAAACAACCAGCTAAACCAAATACTTATTTTATTTGGATATATCTGTAGATATGATGGGTGTAACTAATTGTTCAGCTAAAAATGCAATTCCATGGTGCTTTTAATGATTTAGGTATACACAGCTTTAGTTCTCACAGCAGACTAAAAATAGTGATTTTAATTTATTCCTGCTGCCTACAATTACCCACAACCATGTATTTTTAAATATTTCCAGCCTATAAAAATTACTAATTTTTGCCACTTGTGTTTATCTGCATTTAGACTTTGATTTGGATAAATTAAGCTCTCAAGTGTTCCTTGCTTTATGAAACTCTGCATGTTGTACACTTCAACACAAATAAATGACTTGTACCATTAGAGGTTTAAATAATGTAATGTATTTCATGCTCAGCCTGAAGCTGGATTCCAATGAAGTTGCTAATGCACGTAATGATTAAGTGTAACTCAAATACTAACTGTGTTGTTGAAAACATGACAGGCAATAATTTGGTCTATTATATTCTGCCATTTAATTGCCTAGTACAGACATTCTCTGACACGTTATGAAGCAATGATTTACAATTATTCAAGCTGCAAAGGTCAGAAAGTGACATTATAATCATCTACATAGAGATCCCTTCTAATGCACAAAAACTAGGTAATGCCACACACACACACACACACACACACACACACACACACAAAGAGTTTTACTGCATTAGTAACTTTCTATTTAAGATTTCTTAAACCAACTAGGAATAAACAGTTCATAAGCACATTAATACACAATTTTAAAATGTCTGGAATCTTTTCATGAACCCAGATGTCACAGATTTAGAAAATGCCCTTATTCTCTCCTGATTAGGTAAATTCATTTCAACTATTTAACTCCATACACAAGAATCAAGACGAGACTTAGGTAAATCAATCAGTAAACAATGCAACTCCTAAATCATGCACACCAGGGTCTGCGCTTCTCAATAATGGCATATCAAACTTGGTTATCATTTCTTAGGTTTACTGAAATCACAGGCCAATTATTAGTTTTCTACAACTCTTTAAAAAAAACTAACACTGCAGAACAAAAACAATAACCCTAGTTTATCAATTATATCCCTCTCACCTTAATGGGATGATATAATCTTTATACTTTTAGACCCTTACCTCCTGCTATTATACAAATATGTTCAGTTTGTAACCCACAAGTAAATGCAATAATCAACACATGAATGAGTGGGAAAAAATAAAACTATTTAAAACAACACTTAATAAGTGGGAAATATAAAATAGGGAAAGTATTGGGGAGAGACAGAGAGAGACAATATCAGAATATGAAAGTAAAGCAATGTGTAAGCAATTTTTTAAAAAAATGTAAATGTGGGCAAAAGCAGAAAATAAAAGTGGATGGTAGGAGAAAGTAGATAAGTTACATTTCCTACATGCAGTGAAAACAACCTAGAGAGAAAAAAAAAGTACAAACTAAAGTCAGGAACAAAAACAGATATTACAAAAAGTGGAGAAATATAGAAAAGAAATAGTTAAAAGGAAGAAAGAGTGGTCTACCATTACTAGTCAAATAATTTAAGTACATCACTGAAAACATTTTGAATATTAAGTTTCCCATCAGTAAAATGGGGATAAGAAGGATAAGGTAAGCAATCCACAAAGCTATGGAAATCAACAAGTGAGATAAAAGTTAATCAAGGCTATTTATTAGACCACAATGCACTGCATAAATACTATTTAGAGTACCAGGTATACTACCTTATATGTACATAGAGAATAAAATAAACTTAAAAGAATTTAACAAGACATGGTGCCTAAAATAACTTTTGTAAGTCATCGAGATTTTTACGTTTTTGACTACTGAAAGAAATAAAGGTAAAGATCATGGATGTAATAAAAATATGCATTTGGCCTATTTTCTAAACACAAAATTATTAAATAAAAGCATTAACTATAAAAAATAGGTATAGTTTCTATTATTTCTTACTTTCTCTCTCACTAAGCCCTATGTCAGAGTCATAACAGATTTTCATGTTAACTATCCATCAAGTGCCTAAATATAAACACACCTATATTCTATAAAATTCCTCTCTCGATCACATTTGGATATTTTTAACAAGTAAGAAACTCAACTTTTCAAAAAAAAAAAAAAAAAAAGATTCCCCCAAAAGTGAAAGTAAAATAAATGGCTCTTAACCTGAAGTTATCCATAACATGTACTTAAAACATGATGTACAAAGCAATACATTTTTGAAATTTTTACCATGACATGAGCAGGTAAACCTTGAGTACACAAAACTTAAATTCTGAACTCTTAATCCTAACGACCTAATAGGAATTAGGCATCTAATACATTCAGCTTCTTCTGTCAAACTAACTTAAACCCAAGATATACGGTAGTTAAGATTTGCCAGTGGGGCAGGGCAAAAGGGGGTAATGGTATCTTAAAACTGATCCTGAAGATTCAAAGAAAATCAGTCTAGGTTCATACAACTTATACAAAACTTTAAAAGGCAGTTTTTGTCACAACCCTAAAACTACGTGTTAATGAAAAACACAAAACGTGCAGTTGATGAGCATCCAAAATCATCTAATATAAAGATCTGAAAAAGAGGTAAATTACAAATAATCTGAGACATTAATATTGAGCTCAATACTGTTTGTTGTTTCCATCAATTTCACCATAAAGTATTAGTTTTCTTCTTCAAGAAAACCAAGAGGTTACTAAGAAAAAGAGTACAGTATTCTGAGTAATAATTTCACTTTAAAAATGTGACTGCCCAATTTTTTTATATTATTAATCAAGACTATTTGAGAAATAACTCCTTAAAACTCAAATAATGAAGAGCTCATTAAGAAAATTCTAAAAGGCAGAGACTAAGATATTAACTACTAAGGAAAAGAAAACATAATGCAGGACCTTCTGTTTGTGACAAAATTATAGAGTTAATGTTCCTGAAAGATCGCTTCACCTTTTAAAGCATGATTTTGTAAAAGGTAAAATTTATAGCAATTAAAGCTAATGAAGAAATGCAGCATGAGCTGCTTATGTTCAGGAACTAATAGGTCCACTGAGCATTTCTAAGATTATTTAGCCATCAATGATAATGAATTGACTTTGTCAGTGATGTCAATGTATAAATACTCTCTAGTGCCAGTAATCTGATAACCAATCCTTGCACTTTTTTATGTTTTTTACTTTAATTTTTAACCTACACACTGCCCTATCCCTTTGAAACACATGAAATAGGGAACAACCTATGATACTTTTTCTGCAACACTGAAGGGTACCTAATTCACTACCATTCTGTTCCAACTACAAAGATCAGTAAGTACTCTTCAGTTTACTGCAATTCTTCAGAACTCTCAGCGTCACTGTTAAAATTATTGCTACCTAACTTTTAAATCAAATTTCATTGTAAAAATACAAAGAGAACAATTATTTCCTAGTCTGATGAAATTCAATGCTGTCATAATTCTAAAAAATACAATTCTGGACTCTAGAATGCTTGTTCTACAAACGCACACATACACATAGCTCTCTCTCTGAAGACAGTATAAAACTCGATATATGTATAATCATGTACAATTCTGTATCTCCAGGATCAAATATATGAACTACTCATACAGTATTTCAGTTGTATGAGGTAAGCAGTTAGCGAGCAGGGTGGGCACTGTTCAAATTATACAACTAATGCCGATCAATTGTGTATTCTTTTTGATACCAGACACATTAGAAACTGTTCTGTGAAAAGCTTTCTTCTTCTCTTTCTAGGGTCTTAGTAACCCTAATTAAAAAATAAATGGAATTAGATCTCTATTGACAACAGTATGCAAAAATTGTTTACTTACTTCTCAGAAATGAGAGAAAAACTGCTTACTGCCACCTAATAGCAAATTTTCACTGGAGTCAGGGCCTTCTCCTTTCCTATAACTCATATGGTAAAAACAATAGATGAGATATCTTTTAAACTTCCAAGACCTGCAGCAATTAAAATGAACCATTTGACACCTGACCCTTGCAGCTAAAATCAGTAGCAACAAAACTCATTCTCCCACTCATCTTCAGGGGACTTTAGGGCAAAGGGTCATCTTCATCTACTTTAGCTGCAAGTCACTGAACCATCAATTCCACAGACCATGGTTCATAAAAGTGCTTGCAAAGGTATTTGTAAAACTATCCTAAGGGTCAAAATACACAACTGCATCCTGGGATGAAATGTACTGTCCAACAAATAACAGAACTTGTTTTTGACATAAAACGTATTTACATGGTACTATCAATCAGCAGAATCTTCTACTAAAAAAAAAACCTAATATAATATGTGCAAGTTGCATAATGTAATTGGGCCTGTGGTATTTTGTGAATTAGCCATAAGAACTGCAAGTTTCTCAGGTTTCACATGAAGAATTTTTATATGATGCACTTATTAATTTCTCTAGCATAACAGCATTAAAATAGACTTTTAATCAGAAGCAGGGTATTAAAACCCACCTCTGAATGTCCTATGTTATACCATATATGATCTAGCATTTTAAAACCTTTTAAACATTTCTGCTAAATTAATCAGTTTTGCATTAAGGCACCTTAGCACTTTCTATCCAATGCAACACATTTGAATAACAGTTAAACACTGTACATGATTCTTCAGAGAAAGAACCATTAACTAAAAAAGGAAATAAGTTTTGAAATAAAGTTACACAAAAATGCATAACAACAGTTCTCTTCAGCATCATCCCTGTAATAATCAGTAACCAGCCATCTGAAATTAAATCTTTTGTTGCTTTCCTTACAGAATAAGTCCAATGGATCCAAAGAGCTACTACTGTGATAAAAATTGAAGCAGTACAGCAAAAGAAAAAAAAATACATATACATTCCTAAAGCTATATTATGTATTTTTGTATGTCTTTAAATGGAATTTATAGTTCTCTCTGGCAATGTGAATGAACATCCTATAATTTAGTCAATTTACAGATTACAGGTTCAAATTGACCTTGTAGCCCATAAAATTGCTCATCTTCAGTACAGGATTAGAAGTGGGAGAAGAATGTCATAACTGTATTTAAGGAATTTACCATAACAATGGAAAGGAGGGTACGCATGCATAATTTTAGCCACTCTTACTCCTATCGGTTTTGAATTCCGAAACAATGGCTATCCTGCACATGCTTCCTGGTTCACGCAGCAGAGATGGCTTCAATTTACTCACCCACAGACATGACACTTGTATTCCCTCATCCCAAGGTGCCTTTTCACATGGTTTCTGGCATCTCCAAGCTGAGCTGTTGCAAAATGGCATATCTTGCACTTGAATGGTTTTGATCCTGAGTAAATTTAACATAAAATATGATTTGATTTTGAATAATACATCACCAATAGCTTAGAAAAGAGGACTAAATCTTAAATCATACCTTTAACCTAATTAAGAATTTCTGTACCCAAAATGGAATACTTGCATTCATTTATAACTTGAATAGACCTGATTCCATAATTATTTTACTCTGAAGACTTTGTTTCAGTGAGTCTTCCTAACTTCCACTAACAATCCTAAGATTCAAACTCAAAAGTGAGACTGCTGAGCAGTACTAAGTCGATGAGATGAGCTACATAATTTTAAATATTTTTCTTATAATTCACAAAAATACATCTTAAAGTCACTCAACACTTCAAAGAAAACATTTTTAAAACATAAATGCACTCAGGGCAGCTGATATTTTTAAAAGCATATTTATCATCAAATACATTTCTCTGTGGCCACCTCCTTGTTTCCTCATATTTCTCCGGCTTTGAATTTACTCACATTAAAACAATGGTATATTTCAGGTTTTTTCCTGGCATTTGTCCCAAATTATTATCTATATTTTTAATAACACAATTTATAAATATACAGTAGATAAATTTTTATGCTTTTATGGTCATTTTTATAGTCAAAAATCGATGATGATTAAACAAACTGGAAGAACTGACATTTTGGTTATTAATTTCAAGAACAAATATTTCAACACAAAAAGCATACAAAATTTGTTGTCATTTCATAAAGAATTAAGATTAAACTATACTCAAAAATGAGAAAATAAGATTATTTCAAAGTCTACACACTTAGTGTCAGTAATAGATAAGATTGAAACTGAAACATATTAACAGATAATCATCCACATTAATGAGAAATAACGCTCTTTTAAGACATAAAATAGATACACCATTTCCAAACTTTCTAACCAATACATCTTCAAATAAATCAAAATTGTAAAAACCAGTTTAAAATCAGTACGTTTCCTGATTTTTCATATCATATTCAGTACTTACATGGTGAAATATTCCCTCTACTATAGTTAGATAGAACACGAAATATGTGAACTTTAATAAATATACAAAAAGAGCTCAAATTTAAAAAATTGTAATAAATCATATTTGATCAATGAACCTTTGTGCAGTGTCCTTGTAAAAAAAAAAATCCTCCAAGAATACTTTGTTGAAATTGAAGCACTCAGTAAAAAATTTTAGAGTCTTAAATTTCAATTTAATTCCCAAAAGCTGACAAAAAAAGTGAAGCATTTAATTTTAATCTTCCAACAGAAATAAAAAAGTCAACAGTACTAAGCACCGGCAGACAAGGTTGAATATTTCACAGTTCAATGACAATGAAGCCAGATCTCTTAATATTTCCATTTCTGCTGTTAGAAGTAGATGTAAAATATATTTAGCACCTGAATGGTTGTATCTAGTCAGGTTTATATGTTTAAATGTCAAAAGCAGGTTGAGACTGCAGCTTACAGCAATCACATTCTATCAGTCACATTAGAAAATACAGTTTATTTAAATGATTCTGATAAAACCAAGCCTATCACTACTTTGAACATTTCACTAAGACATAGAATTCTATAATGGGACTTTTGTAAGGTGTGTGAAGAACCAATTTACCAACACTTTAAATTTCAATGCTCCAAAGATAATAGGGTAATTAGGACATTATTAAGTAACAATAATATCAGGACTCGAAACAAAGAAGATCAACCTCTCCCAATATTTGTATTACAATTTTGGTGAATGGATGTAAAAGGTCTCATGGGTTTGAGTTTTCATTTTGCTCACACAGCACCTGCCATGTGACTAGCTCCTCCTCCTGTGGCACAGATGCCACAGAGAAAGGGACGTGGGGTCTCTGGTGTGTTCAATTTACTGTCCATGGCTCCTTTGTGGAAAACTCTAGTTTCTGCAGGTCTCAGTGATCACAGCACAGCATGCTGACAATACATAAATGAGTTATTTTGTTGACTGCTTCACCCAGAATCATGGAGGCCTTGACTATTCTTCACATCTTATATTCAGAGTAGACTGTGTTAACATCTCCTTTCTGTGCCATAAAAATTCAAATACTAGCAGAGGTAATACTTCTCCGCATTAAAGAAAAAAAAAGGGCCCTTTTTTCCTTGTTTCCTAACTAATAACATTTCTGTTTTTAAGTTTGCTATGTACTTTCCGAAATGAATGCAGGCACAGTGTTTATAAGACAAAATTGTAAAATTGCAGATCTCTAAATATTTCTCTCAGGTACATTTTGATTATTAAAAACAATATTATTTGCAACAGTTCCATTCCTTGGAACAGCATTATCCTCAGTAGGTTTTTTGGTTTTCATTTGGTCCATAAGGTTTTTTCAAAGGGAAAAACTAAAGAGGCTCTCTATCTTTGTGGTACCTTATTACTTTACCGAAAGAATTTCAAAGACTTTAAAATCCAGGTCTTCACTCAGGCCTACGAGGGCTCCTCAACCATCAGTCATGACTATTGCTATGCATACACAGATGTGCCATTAGCATTAAAGAGAAAATACCAAATGAAAGCCCTTAGATCTTAAAGGAATGAAGGAAGTTGTATATTACCCAACATCTAACCACTAGAGCCATCATTCTACAATCCTCCCTAAACATTCAAACACTTCATTCATTCATTCATTCATTCATCTGCTCGTTCATTTATTCACTCATCAAGATATACCAAGAGCCAACTAATGTGGGACACAGATGAAGCAGTGAACAATGTTAAGCCTTTGTGGTCACTGTGCTTAAAGTCTACAGATTAACTCTCCTACTGAGCTGTCTGTCCTTTGTCACGTATTGAGCTACAAACACTACCAGCCCTAACTTCAGAATTTCTTAGTGAAGTCACACACTCCGTATCTCCCTGGAACATTTTGAGATGGCATTAGTGACCAGAGCACTCTAAACATAAAACGAATGGCTTCAGACAATCTGGTACTTAACAACAGCCCATGTTACATGAAATAAAAGCTTTGACAGACCAATGCGGGAGAAATGAAAACGAAGTTTTTTAGTCCTGCTAATGTAATGTGAAAGGGAAGACTGCCCTTTCTGGTCATGTTGATTACTTCGTAGTAGCATGCACACGGGGAGACTCTAGGATCCTTTTTCCTACGATGCTTGATAACCAAAACTCATTTATTTCTTATAGTGCTGCTTTTATCCTGCTAAGGATGGGAAGCAAAGGTTATATAAAACATATAGTAAATCACAAAATATGAAAACAGGGATTGGAAGAGTAAGCTCTTTTCCAGTTAACCATTAATAACAGTCTCTGCATTACTATTTTATGGACATAAGCAAAGTATGTGAAAAGCAATTCATTTTAAGATGCTCCAAGAAAAAAACCCTGAATTAAAACCTGGAGACCAACTTCCCCAAAAAATGACTTGCAAAATTGAAATGGTAGACTCGTATTGTGTCCTCAGGAACAGGGCTCTTGGTAGTGTTTCAAAGCACAATAAAAATGTACTTCCTGATAAGACCAACACAAGATGTTTAAAAAAAAAAAAACTATGCTAACTTTTACTAAATGTTACAATCAATGATGTAACTTATATAAGTAGGGTTACTTTGTCACATATTGATAGTTACCTCACTTTCACATCCACATTAACTTGATTTTAAATGCAATTAATACATATAGTCAAGGAAGACTAATGGACTACATTCTGCACTTAACCTGGTGGACATTTTCAAATGGCACAAGTGACCAGTGCAAACCTATTTTGCATTGTAAACGACTAAATAAATCTTAATGGATTAAGAATGATCAGCTATCAACACACAAGGGAAATTAAGTGCTGAAATGCCTACATTGATTATTTTAAATTATTAGCCTTACTCTGTTCTTGAATTTGTATGCTTTTAGTGAGCTTTAACACATTTACAAGACTTATTGACTATAATTACAAGAGAATTCAAGTAATGGACACATCAATTATAAGCAACATGTCTTGACCAGACAGTTGCATAAAGAATTCTAAAAAGAGCTCCATTAGCATCTTCCTCTTAGTTTTATTCAGTTTTATCTGCCTTAAGAGGGCATATTAAGAAAGTACATATTTTCTGCGCATGTGAACAAGTCTTATTCCTAAAACTGTATCGTTTCAGAAAGAAAGCTGCAACAAGGCACTGAGAGAGATACTGACAGTGCAGACAAATAAGCATTTGGACTTATTCCCCAAAAATGGCTGCAGTGCATAGGAATATTTGGGATCACAAGTACAATGTTTGTATTTATTTACATTAATCTTATGCAGGTTGCCCCATTACTTCCTTCAGTGAAAAACTTTTATCTATCTTTAATCACCCTAAACTAGTAATAATGCTTCACACTCTTCTGTCTTCTTCCTCGTAACCATGCACTAAGTTTCAAAAACTGTATGAATTTAAAGTATAGCTTTAATAATAAGCCATTATTTAAAAGTACAGTAAAATAAACCTTACAGTTTTAATGAAAATATGTTCACTGAAATGTGAATTTATTATTCAAATCCACTCATAAATTCAACCATGGAGACAGAACTTGTCTAAGCGGAGCACAATGATTTAGAAAAGCTGTCTATTTAAAATAAAGAATGTATGGCAGGTTTACAGAAACAGTGCAGTGAATTTTTACATAAATTTAGAACAGTAGCTTATGCATTTTCCACCAAAAAAAAATGTTTTTTTAAAAACTTTCCACCTAAAATTAAACATTAAAATGGAACACTAACTGTGACAGAGCACAGAGACTAAATCAGGTGCTACCTCCAGGAACACCAGATCCCCAGCACATGTTAACTTTGGAAAGTGGTGACTAATTTTGATCCACAAAGGTAGAATCTTGTTACCCGGAAGTTACACTTTTGGATATAAAATATCTAATGATGAATATTTTTACATCCCTGATATTGTAAGAAAATTTGATTACTCCATTCCTTAAAAGTCACTTAACATGTCTTCTGAAATTATAAGGTGCCACTTAATACAGACTTTGGAAAATCAAATAATTAGGACTCAGAAACAACTGAAAAGCCGCCAACAGACAGCAGTTTTTAAAAGGCATCAGAGGGACTAGGCTTTTTGACAAAATTAAAAGAAACTTGTCAGCTAACCTGCCTTTGAAATCACTAGGGCTTAATTACCCTTAAAAATGTTAAGTGTCAACAATGACTTATTGCAGACAAGCAGAGCAGCACACGGCAGTGAAATGTGAACCGGGTGGAAAGCCAATGAGCAGCCACAGGTAGGGCTGCATATCTGGATGGGAACAAATGGCCCCATGTCCTCACTGACTTGGCTTGCTGCAGAGCTACATACCTGTGTGAGTGCGAATGTGTGCCAGGAAGGCCATCGAGTTGCTGCTTCGACACATCTTCCCACAATACTTGCAGACGTTTCCCTGGTTTTCCTCCCTCTCGCGGTTGATTTGCTCAGTGTCTTCCACTATATACTTATTCACCTCCCGCAGCAATTCCTCATGCTGTCCTTTAATATGTAAAAATAAATTCTGTTCAGAATCAAAGGGCTCTGTGCACTTGACACATTTAAAGGTGGCCCCTCCCTCCGGAAGCTCCTCCACACTGGCCTGCTCATTTCTCATGTGGCCGGCACTAGCCAGATGCTGGTGAAGGTTGCTTTCGGTATAGAACGACTTTCCACAGAGTAAACAATGGAAGTGCTTCTCTTTTGTAGGATGCTTCATGGCTATGTGAACATTCAGTCCACTCAGTCCATCTGCTAAGAAGCCACAATCATCACAGCGAATTCGTGTAGACTCACCAATGGAACTGCCCTCAGATTTCTTCTTTTTCACACCTTGAGCACAGTCTTTCAAGGGCAGCTCACTAATTCTCACTCCCGTTGCTATCAAGCCCTCTTCAGACTGGTCTATCAACTCACCATCTTCAGGGTTCTTTATTCTTATTATGGAGGAGTCAAATCGACCAAAACTGTACATGGCCTGCCCTTTATCATCAATACTAATTATAGTTTCATAGACATCACTACTTTCAACTGTGCTATCAGAAGCTGGGCCATCCTCCTCCAAAATAAATTCTGTTTCATGTTGTGAATTCATCAGAATTTCCTTATTCCCCAGAACGGGATCTTCTTGGACACCTTTCAAGTCTTCCAAACCATGCCCACGTGCAACTCTGTTCTGACCCCCGCTCTCCAGATTTCCCTGTTCTCTGGTTATTCTTGTCACAACGAGCACAGGGCTTTCAGCCGAGCGCTCCCCATCGAGCGTCACAGGGCACAGGTGTCTGTGGGGGACAACACCTCCACCGTCTCCTGCGTTTCCTCCTTCACCCTCACAATGGACACGCAGCTCACCTGCATCATTCGATATCTCATGGTTTTTCTTTGCTGTCTCACAATTTAAGGCAGAGCTTCCTGAATTTTCATTTTGAAATCTGCTTGGGGAGCCATAGTTTGAGGACATAGTAAGTGACATCATCTCCTCAGGTTTCCTAACTTTATCCTTGACAGGAGCCTGTTGGAAAGTCTCACAAAAGGAATGGTCTTCATTGAAATTAGATTCTTCTTCAGTCTCAACTTCTACAGAGTCAGCAGCGCAGAGCACTTTAGACATATCTAAATTAGTATTCTCATTTAAAATAGAGCAATCTGCAGCATTTCTAGATTTAAGAGTATCAGATGGTTGACCTGAAATTATTTGAAATTCCTCAGAATTTTGTTGATGCTCTTCTTCAGGCATAATGATGTTTTTGGACATGTCTGCAGAACCAGCTTCTACATTAGCAGAGTTGAGATAAGACTGCCTTTTCATTTTGTGCTTCTCTGTTGCTGCATGCCTGGTCATCTCGCGACGAGTCACCGCGTAGTAATCGCATGCCATGCAATAAAACTCAAACTCTTTTGTATGTTTCCGTTTTACATGCAGCTCTAGAGAAGCAGAGGAGTGAGCACTAAACTCACAGTGCAAACACTTATTCTCACCTGTGCCTGTAACATCTCTCTGGGAGTACACATCCCCCGGCTGGGCGAAGTCCTCTGGCTCTGAAGATATTTGCTCCTTTTTATCAAGAAGATGGCTGTTAACTTCTCCATCTAGAGAATGAAATACATTTTCAACTTCAGCTTCAATTGAGTTTCCACGATCTGGCTTCTCTAAAACGGAGGTGGGTGACTCAGCTGGTTTGTTAGCATGTTCATCTGACATGGTCACTGCTGAGCCAGCATTCTTTTTACCAGCTTCAAGGCTACCCCCTTCAGGGCCAACAATGATATCTGAACTGTGTTTTCCACTTGCTTCTATTTCTACCCGTCCTTTATGTTTCTTGGTGGCACAATGACGTTCCATATCTCCCTTAGTTACAGTGTAATACTTACACACTTTGCATAAATAACTATACTGGTGACTGTGTTTTCGTCTAATGTGAACAGTCAAGTTTGTAATACTAGAGGCCAAAAGGCCACAGTGTGAACACGTCCGTGAGATGTTACCTTTAGGTCTCCCTCTCTTTGGAGTAGTGGTTGAAGCTAATTCATCATCTTTGGTGCTACCACCAGACTGTGACAGTTCCTCAGACGCCAGCATGCCCTTCTCAAGATAGGAATGCTCTTGTAATTGCACACCTATATGGCCTTCAATCCTTCCATTTCCGGAAACATCAAACTCTTCTTTTTTATCATTTGCACCTATACATACCCTTTCAATACATTCTTCAAAGCTTAAGCCAATATTATTTTTCTTAGCATTTTCAAGATGCTTGCTTCTTTTAATGTGTTTCTCCATTCCTTCTTTGCTCAATGAATAAAGATTACAAGCTTTACAAAGAAAATGATAGTCTTGACCATGCCGAAGCTTTATATGTCTCGTGAGAACAGTAGAAGATCTTGTTTTATAAAAACACTTCTTACACTGAAACTGAGGCTTACTGGAATGCCTCACTTCATTACCATGGCTTACCCTGGACTTCAGAGGTTCTTCCTGAGATGCTTTTCCTGAGTCATCCATAGACTCTTTTGCGTTTTCTGATTCTAAAGTACTCAAAGGTAAAGTCTGTAAAACCAAATCACTGTTAGATGATTGCAAAGTCTTTGGTTGAACCAATGAATTAATATGCTTCTCGGTGGCTTTGTGTTCTTCCACATCTTTTTCAGACAAAAAGAACAGATTACAAGGGGTGCAAAGAAAATGCATATTGTGCTTTTCCTTCATGTGGTCTCTAAGATTTATTTCATCCAAGGATATAAATGAACAACACTGACAACTCAGGACAGAAGCAGTTTGCTGATGCTGGTTACTGTGCAAATGTTCATCTAAGTCCCTTCTTGACATACTAGAGAAGTCACAAGTACGGCAGTAAAATTTCATCTCTCTGGCATGGCACCTTTTCACATGGATTTCCAAATCTGTCCTATTTGTAGCTACTTGCCCACAGTCTGTACAAGCACACAACGTCTGAGAGCCAGAAGCTGGCTTCACTGTCAGGGAATGCAGCCCGGAGTCCGGAGGACGGGCACTCCCCTGGCCCTGCTCTGCCTCCTGGGTTTCTGAGGTAGTCACACACACTCTCTGCACACTGCTGCACGCTTCCAGGTGTTTCAGCACTGATTCTGCATCGTGTGTTTTCATCTGTGTTCTCAAGTGTTTCATATACATCCTCTGAGTTTCACTTGTACCTCTTTTAATTCCTAAAAGATTAAACCTTTTCTTTGCCTGGCCCTTCAAGGTGAAAGTGCTGCTTCGTCGACGAAAGCTATTACCCAACACGAGAATATTTCGCTCAGGTCTTGGCCTCGAGGTTACACTGTTACCGTGTGCTGCCTGAAGGGTATTTTTTGTAGATTCCAATTTCTCTAAGAGACCCTCTGAGGTTACTAAGGTGTCTAGCTTTCTACTCTGGTTTTCAGGATTCTGAGCTAGACCAAGGGAAGTAACATGTTCTTCAACAATCTCTACTTCCTGTGACAAAGTATTTCTGGAAGGCATCATTTCAACAAGAAGCTCACTGCTACTACCACTTTGTTTAGAAATACTTCCTCTGAAATCTTTAAACGTGCTTCCCACATTTCGTAATCCTTTTGAATCACTATTCTTTGCTATTGATTTAGAAGTTCTTGGTTTTGAGTGAACATTTTTTGTTGCCATTGTACGTGATTTTTTAGGAAAAGGTTGTTTTGTTAAGATCTGTACAAATCCTCCACGAGCAGCCAGATTCTGACGACGGAGATGTGTTTTGCCAAGATAATGTGCATTCAACAAGTTTTCTTCTGAACACTGAAAACCACAAAGATCACAGGAAAAGACCTTCTGTGGCCCATGTGCTTGTTTGATATGCATATGTAGTGCTGAGCTGCTCTCTGCTTTGTGGCTGCAGTGACAACAGGTATGTTCCTTAGGCTGCTGCATGTGAGACTCAGCATGTTTTTCCAAGTCAGAGCAAGAAGAAAACAAATGCCCACAGATGCTGCATTTGAGAACTGTATCTACATTCCCAATGGTACAACTAACACTAATTTCTTTCGGGGGGAAAGGAGATTCTCTTTCCAGATCAAGGGAAACCATTTCCTGAGCAGATGTTTTTTCAGTGTCTGTTTTCAGAGAAACAACATCAATAGTGCTAAAATTGCAAGAAGGGGAGAGGGCATTTGGGAGACATGTGCCTCCAACTGTGCAGTCACTCAGAAAGGTCTCCTTCCCTGTTTCATCTAATGCAATACCCCCTTCTGTGACTGAGCTCTCAGAAGTTTCTAATCTACAAATACCTTGCTTTCCAGATTTAAGGGGCTCTGCCTCATCTAATTTCCTGCGTTTGGAAGCATGTTTATTTCTGTCTTCTCCTATAACAACACTATCAGAGTTCGATGATTCTGAAAAACCTCTTTTGCCCATAGAATTCTCAGGGAAACTTGCTATCACATCAGATACAGGCCCACCGTCTTCATTATGGGATGAAAGCTTTGTCAAGTCTTGTGCTTCTTTGTTTATCTTTTCATCCTCATCATTTTCGGGTTTATTCTCACTATCCATCATTAATAAAGTGCTGACGATGCTTCTATCTAAGGCGGCTCACTGGCACTCATAACCTGTGAAGTAAACAAACATGGTATTAAATCTTGAATATAAAGACACACGTATTAGTCTAAAACTAGATGAAAAAGTATCATGAAGTTAGCCCCAATGAAACACCCTTTATACTGAGATGAATTTGATTACATGTCTAAAGTCTTTTATCAAAAAGTATGAAGTAGGATTTTAGGAACACCATGTCACCCTATTGTTGACTCCAGAAGAAATACTATGGTATCTTTGGTAGAAAAAGTGATTTCTCAACAAGCTTGCAGAAAAACTCCCATATTTCAATTCTCTGTACCAGCATACTTCAATTTACTACCCTTTTAAAAAAAAAACAAAAAGAGAAGCTCTCCTTTCAAAAAACATTTCAATGAGCTCCTACTCTGTAAAATATATTAAAACAAAACTGCTGTGATGCAAGTCTAGAAGTGAGGCCTTCCCCTCCTTAACCTCTAACAGAAGCCCAAGTCCTATGTAAAAGAAACATAATTTTAAAACAACTGTTTCGGCCAGGCGTGGTGGCTCACACCTGTAGTGCCAGGATTTTGGGAGGCCGAGGCAGGCGGATCACGAGGTCAGGAGATCGAGACCATCCTGGCTAACACAGTGAAACCCTGTCGCTACTAAAAATACAAAAAAATTAGCCAGGTATGGTGGCAGGCGCCTGTAGTCCCAGCTACTCGGTAGGCTGAGGCAGGAGAATGGCGTGAACCCGGGAGGCGGAGCTTGCAGTGAGCCGAGATTGCACCACTGCACCCCAGCCTGGGCGACAGAGCGAGACTCCGTCTCAAAAAAAAAAAAAAAAAAAAAGACACCACTGTTTCATCCTTTTCTCCTAAAGCAAAGAGCTTTACCATGATTTTTCTAAATATATTCCAATGAACAACACGTATAATCTCATTACATATCACCATTCGTGCTCAAGCTCTTTTACCAATGAAAAGCCACTTCTAGTCCAGCTGTCAATCATTAATTTCCTCATCTAATTGTCATTTTATATTGTCTGAAGGTTAATGGCAAAGGGAAATGTCAGTGGTAGAGTAGAATTAATGGAGTAAATTTTGAGAAAAAAAAGAATTTTATTGAATAAAATGCCTTGAAATCAATAATATTGATTTTATTTTTCATTATGCTATTTAATTCAATTAAAACATATCATTTTCCATTTACTTTACACCATGATGGGAATGTTCAGCCAAATGCCACTTGATTCCACGTTAATAAAAAGGCATCAACGTATTATAGTCTCAAGGCTAATGACAACTATTTTAAACTATTTTAGCTATTTTTTCCATAACGTTGACAAATCAAATGGAGCCTATTGCTTTGACTCAGCTAAAATCAGGCAACAAAAATATGCTTATAATGCAGGACACTGGAAGCGCGAACAATACGAGAAAAAAACAAGTAAATTGGACTTCATCAAAATTAAAAACTTCAAAAGACACTATGCTTCAAAAGCCACTATCAAGAAAGTGAAAACAGAGCCCACAGAATGGGAACACATTTTTGCAAATCAGATATCTGATAAGGGACTTGCATCTAAAATATATTTTTAAAACTTTTATTCTCAATAGTAAGATAAATCAATTTAAAATGAGCACAGAATATGAAATACATTTCTTCATAGAAAATATACATAATACACATATGAAAAGATACTCTACATCAGTAGTCACTAAAGAAATGCAAATCAAACCCACAAGGAGATACCATTTCAAACCCACTAAGATAGCTATACTCAAAAAATCAGATAACAAGCGTTGGCAAGAATGTGGAAAAACTGGAACCCTCATAACACTACTAAGGGGAATGTAAAATGGTGCAGCCACTTTGGAAAACAGTCTACCAGTTCTTTAAACAATTAAACATGGTGCTAGCATATAGCACAGTAATTCTACTTGGAGGTATACACAACCAAGAGAAGCAAAAACATATATCCACCCAAAAACTTGTATGCAAATGCTGACTGCAGTACTTATTCATAACAGCCAAAAGGTGGAAACAACCCAAATGTTTGTCAATGGATGAATGAATCAAGAAAATGCGGTATCCACACAATGAAATAGTATTCAGTCATAAAAAAGAATGAAGTATCGGCCAGGCACGGTAGCTCATGCCTACAATCCCAATGCTTTTGAAGGACAAGGAGGGAGGATGGCTTGGGTGCAGTAGTTCGACACCAGCCTGGGCAACACAGCAAGACCCCAGCTCTAAAAAAATAAAAAAATAATAAAAATTAGTGCCAAGTGCCTGTGGTCCTAACTCCGGAGCTGAAGCAAGAGGATTGCTTGAGTCCAGGAGTTCAAGGCTGCACTGAGCTACGATCACACCACTGCACTCCAGCCTGGGAGACAGAGACAGAGACCTTGTCTCTGAAAATATAATAAATAAAAATAAAATTAAAAATGAAGTACTAACATGCCACAATGTGGATGGCCCTTAGAAACATTATGCCAAGTGAAGACCATGTACTATATGGTTCCTTTTTATATGAAATGTCTAGAATAGAGAAATCTATACAGACAGAAAAATAGGCAGCCCTTGGTTTCTCAGGGCTGCGGGTAGGCAGGCAGAATGGAGAATGATAGCTAAAGGGTAAGAGGTTTCTTTCTGAGGTGATAACAGTGTTTTAAAATGAACTGTGGTGATAGTTGCACACATCCATGAATATAATACTAAAATCCACTGAACTGCAAATATCTCAATAAAGCTGTTTAAAATATATAAATTGTCATATATTATGTATAATATAAAAGTATTTGAAAATGAGTAAAAAGATAAATTTATCTAGTTTTATTGCATTTATAAGACATTCAACATTAGTTCAGATACATTCCTTCAGAATAGGTTCCAGAAAATATAAATTATATAAGAGTAGCTGTTTTAAGTGAAAAAACATCTCTGGTCAAATAAGTTTAGAAACCTCTAGTTTGTTAGCCAGCTGTGGTGGTGTGAACCTGTAGTCCCAGCTACACAGGAGTCTGAGGTGGGAAAATCGCTTGAGCCTCCGAGTTTGAGGCTGCAGTGAGCTACGACTGAACCACTGCGTTCCAGCCTGGGCAACAGAGTGAGACCCTGTCTCGAAAAAGAAAGGAAAGAGAAGAGAAAAGGGGCGGGGCGGGGCGGGGCGGGGTGGGGCGGGGCAGGGCAGGGCAGGGCAGAAAGAGAGAAAGAGAGAAAGAGAGAGAGAGAGAGAAAGAGAGAAAACTGAACAAACAAACATTTCTTTACCACAGGATTTCTCGGTACACAAGCTCTTTCCAACCTTATTTGATTACAGAACGCTTTGTTTATAAAGAATCAAGAGACTGGTATTGCAAAGGATCCTTAGGAAATGCTCTTCTGGCTGGGCACAGTGGCTCATGGCTGTAATCTCAGCACTTTGGAAGGCCAAGGTGGGCAGACCACTTGAGCCTGGGAGTTGGAGACCAGCCTGGGCAACATGGTGAAACCCTATCTCTAACCAAAAAAGAAGAGCAGGGGAGGGGGACAGAAATGCTCTTTTCTATAAAGCATTGGTTTGCTATTCAACATTTGCAATTGAAGAGTAAAGGGAGGAAAGGAAGAAAGAAAGAATCATGCACCCATTTCAAAACCTTCACTTAGTGCCTACAGTATATCAAGTATTCTTGCCTGTAGATGCTGGATATACAGCAAACACCACCCAAAATCTTAGTCCTGTGAGAGCTTACACTGTAAGAGATGAGACATCGAGACAATACATTGCTTAAAACAGATACATTGTCCAACCCAGGGCAGCTGCTTCTGGTCAAGATCACAGGGACTGGATTTACTCTCATGTTTGAAACAACTGAAAAAAAGTAAATGAAACCTACGAAGCAACAGTGCAAGACAGTCGACATCAGACACCAAAGGACAGCGATTCCTGAGATGAACACACTAGGTGAGTCCGGCTTTCTGCCTAAGAAAGTACGAAGGCCATAGCACAAGGAGGGGCATTATAAGTTGAGGATAAAACAAAGGAGAGGAGAAAAGTGGAGAGAAAAAGAGGCCCAGAGATCTGCAGAGGTGACGTCCCAGGAATCCCTATCAGGATACAGCCCTGCCATCCTACCAGCAAGATGCCTCATGCACCTTCGCAGCTGGTCCCTCCACCACAGCAACCACTATTCAGAATTCTTCCACGATAGTTTAGTTTTGCCTGGTCTAGTAAAATGGAGCCATGCAATATGCTCTGTGGGGGAAGGGAGGTCTGGCCTCCTGGGCTCAGCCTGACGCTTTTACTGCATGTGTGAGTAGCATGTTCCATTGCACTGCTGGGTTGTAGTATACTGAATAGATACACCACAATTCTGCTGATAGACATTAGGGCTGTTTCCTTTTGTTGCTATTACAAGAAAGCTGCTATGAATATTCTTAGTTCAACAAATATGTACTGAGCACCTACCAAATGAACGGAACTGTAGTGACACCAACACACTCGTGCACTGAGATAATATTCTGCGGGAGTCACATGACATACACACCAGTGACCTCAATACAAGGCCATACGTGATCATGTGTACAATACAAACTAAGATCTACAGCAGTATACTTGAGCAAGAATATCCATGTGTTTTTAAAACATATTTTTTCATTCTTTTGTGTAAATATCAATGATTGATACTGCTGCGTTATAGGGCAGATGGACGTCCAACTTTATGAGAAACTGCCTGACTGATTTTCAAAGTGCCTGTACTGTTTTGCATTGCTAGCAGCTATGTATAAGAATTCTGTTTGGCCCACACCCTCACCAACACTTGATATCAGTCTTTTAAATTTTAGTCACTCTAGTATGTATGGTTTTAATCTCCATTTCCCTGATGCCTAGTGATGGCACTGAATACTTTTTAATGTGCTTTGTTAGTCTTTTGGCTGTTTCTTAATTTGGTTGTTTTATTATTGAACTGCTTACGTATTCTGGATATAAATCCTTTGTTAGATATGTGTTTAACCAACATTTCCTCCCTTCTCATTTGATTAATGGTGTCTTTGATAAACAGAAGTTTTAAATTCTGATGAAATCAATGCTTTTTCTGTTATGGTTATTTATGTGTCTAGTTTATTTTCTGTCTCTACACGCTAGACTGTAAAGACATGATTTATTTTATCCAGCCATATATCCCAAGAGCCTAGAACAGTTCCAAGCACTTGTAAGGTACTAGAATGAATGAATGCCTTATTGTGATATAAGAAATGTCTAATATCTAAGTATTTACAGATGAAATTAAAAATGCCTGCAATACACTTTAAAATAGTCCAGGAGAGGGGCATGGTGAAGTTATGTGATAATGATTAAAGCTGAGTGACAAGCACATGGGGATTCATTATACTATTCTATCAACTTTTGTATATGTCTATATCTATATAGATAGATACAATGTTTAAAAAATCTGTAACAGAAGTTCTGCTTAAAAACATTTTAATGCTTAGTCTAAAACAGCAGGAACTCCCTTTCCATGCCCAGTCTACCACGTCTTCATCTGCAAACACTGCTGCAGTGCACGACTGTCCCTTTCACTAGGCACCAGCAGGAGTTCCACTTTCCAAATACATAAAGGGAACACACACCACCACATTACTTAGGGAAGACATACATACGTACGCACATACACAGGCACACACACACACACACACACATTTGCTTAGAGCGAACACTCTGTTGAGGGCATCTGACTCATATTTTTACAGACAAAAAGAATGACAACTAAGAAGCAAAATAATGAGAGCCTTAATCTTCTAAATAATGGCTCCAAGAATTCTAAAACAAAAGGAAAAAAGTTTCCACATTTGTTATTTCACAACTGAATTTCTAAATTAATGAAATAACCCAATATCTCACTATATCAAGAAATAACAACAAACATTCAACAAATAAATATTGAATGCTACCACATGAAAGGAACTGTAGTCATACAAATGTACTCATGCATTGGGGTAAGATTCTGTGGGGGCCACATGACATACACACCAAGGACCTCAATACAAGGCCATACATGATCATGTGCACAATGCAAACTAAGATCTACAGAGTATACGTGAGCAAGGAATCATACTCCCAAGCAGAATATTTAACTCAGATAGCAAAAATATCATTTGAGCCTAACCTTGAGGAAATTAAAACTGTTTGTCGTTTGTTGAGGGGGCAAGTAGGAACAGTTAAATATCTCAAGGAGAAGGCAGCGATCTGGCAAAGCCCTAAAACACAAACCACGAGCACGTAAGAAAGCTCTCAGCCATCCAGAGGGCCACGGCACTGGCTTTCTACCACAGACTGACTTAGAAAACTGGCAGCTGGTCGACCAGGTCCAGATCACAGAAGGCTCCATATTAAGAGCTGGATTTTATTCATTGGTGCCAGTAGGGAGTCACTGAGACACAGCCCTGCTTTAGGAAGATTAACTTTTCAAGACGCAAGACATACTGAAGGCAGAGACAATCTAAAGGCAGAAAGAGCTCAGTGTAAGAGTTTAAGTAATACGGTCCAGAACTAGAATGACATCAGTAAGCAGGGATGCAGAGTGGTTTAATAGGTATCTCAAAGCCATCTAGAAGGGATTCAGCAGGTGAGAAAGTTTATGCTGATGTAAAAGTTGTTTTTAGTTCACTGGGAAAGGTTACTAGAACAAGTAGCATATTACCAACAGAGCCGGAACGGGTCTTTTTTAAAGAAGAATTCAAAAATCATCCAATTGGGACAGTTTAAGGCCTCATTTTTCTGAGGCAGATTTCATGTCATTCACTCAACAAACATGAACTGAAAGCTTATCATGAACCAGAAAGCCCCTCTGGCTCTCCCCGGAACAAAGCGAAAACAGGCAGAAGACTCACTGACTGCCAGCTCTCAGAGGAAGGCGTGATCTCCTTTCCCTCTCAAAGTACCAGTGCTTGTAACCCAGTGGAGAAGTAGAATGAGCCTCAGATTTCTTCCCACAGTAAGGTTTCAAGATTGAGAAGACCTGGCAAGTATCTAGACTAAAATAATGGATGTGTTATTAAACCCAGTCTTCTTCAAGCATTACGTTTCCTATTCAAATCATCAATTCCCTTTCCACACATCTCTTCACTGTGCCACCAAGATTCCCCAAGTATCCATCTTACCCAAACACTCAAGCAGTTGTTCCTTGACTGTCAACATAAGCTCCATGTAGCTTTATTATCTTCATTTCTACCTATAAATTATTAATTCACCCAGAAACTGTCACAAAACAAAGTCCATGCTCAAACTGAAATCGTTCTCTGCCTATGATTTAAAAGAAAAAAAAAAGTTTCAATAAAGAAATTAAAATACTTTTTGAGAACAATAATAAATCAAGCGCAGCCTTCTGATGACACCTGCTGGCCGCTTCTCACAGGACGTTTCTTTCTGCATATCAAAGAAGGCATTTCGGGAAGAATTTGAGAAACAATTATTTCAGTCAAATGAAACCATTTCACACGCTAGGGCGGCATGCATGACATTTTTCCCTTCATTTTCATCCTTTTGTTCCACTTTTCACTCATTTCAATCTCTCATTTCTCTCTCTGCCTTTCTCCCTCCTAAAGAGTATCTACGAAGCGAGCTGCAGCTCTCGCTCTGCCGCCCTCATGTGCACACACCCAAAGTCACAGACGCACACGCGCACTCACACTCACACATGCAGTTTCACACATGCACTTACCCTCACGCACTCACACTTGCACTCAAACACGCAGTCTCACACTCATGCACACACACACTCACATGCACACACACTAACACCCGCACTCACACACGCAGTCACATATTCACAGACATACAGACACACACGGATTCACATTCACACGTACACACACACGCACTCACACATTCACACGGACACACACACAGTCACACTGACACGCACTCAGATACACACGCACTCACACACTGATACAGATACACACATATCTTCACTCACATGCACTCATTCACACACACATGCACTCACACACCAACTCACATTCAGACTAACAGACACACGGACTCACATTCACACTGACACACGCACTCAGATACACTGACACACAGATATATACACACACATTCACAGATACTGACATTCACACACTAAAACAGACACGCACTTGTAGGCTGACACACATGCATTTGCACACCCACACACTCATTCAGATACACACTCACACGTACTCACATTCAGACATATTCACAAATTCAGACACAGACACAATGACACGCGCACTCTCACACACAAATATTCATTCACACACACACTCACAGACACACACCACTATGGTGATGCCATAAAGAACCCATCCTCTCCCATCCAGCCCCATCACACCCTTCGCCCTTCCTAGATTCACCCAAATTCGTCATGCAGGCAGTGTGACATTGTCACCAGGCCCACAGTAACTTCACTGAGGGGTACGTGTGACAAGGCAGGTGTGCATACACACGCGTGTATGAAAACATCTAGTGGTCTTTTGTTCTTTCTCTTTGGGGAGTACAAAAAAAAAGGACGAATCCAGAAGTGATGACCGCCCTCCAGCAGAACTGGATTCCCTGCTCCTCGCAGGGCAAGGCCGGACAGGCAGGGCTGCCCACAAGCCCCCTGCGAGCTGCAAGGGCAATGGCTGCGCAAGGTAAGAGGCAATAGAAACTAGGGGGCCACTCGCATCTCTTTCTTCATCTGTCACGTCAGCTGACTTCCTGTTGAAAATGTGTCTTGCCCTTATGGTATTACCTCATTTAATAGAGCCATCAAGTCCATGCATAAAGGCAGCTTAGTATTAGTTGTAGTCACGAAACCCCATGTGCACAATCTGAGGGTAACTAAAGGGCGCTGCACTCCACCCTCTCCTCACCAGTCTCCTCCCGGCAGAAACATCCATTCATAACAAAGACCACAAAATCAAGTATCTGATCCTATGAAGGAAAAAAAAACACTCTTCCATGAAAAGGTTTACAACTGCAAGTTGTACAAACTCATCCACGAGAAGAGAGTATACAACACCCTAAAAAACCATTCACTAGATAACAGTGGAGGCAATTTCACCACGTGTAGATGTAATAGGGTCTGTCTTCCTCACAAGAGGACTAGCACATAAACACTGGGGTCCAGGAAACCCACGTCCTCACAGTCCTGAGACCAGGCTACCTTGCATTCCTAATTTACATGTTTGTAAAATTGTTTATTTCCCTACCCAGGAAAATGCCTTCGGTGGTTTAAATGAGTTCTTTTGACATTCCCTTTAAAGGATGGAGCCCAATTCCCCTCCTCTTGAGTACGGAGCTGTTTGTAAGGGACAGAAAATAGTGGAAGTGAGGATGCTGCATGCTGGAGACGAAGTTCTAAGAGACCCTGTGCTTCCTGCATGCCCTCCCCTAGGGTCACTCTGTCCAGTGCAAGCCAGTACCATGTAGCAGGGACATTTAAGCAGCTGTGGGGAGGCCCATGGGGGAAGGAAATGAGGCCTCCGACTCAGAGCCAGTGAGGAGCTGGGGGCTGCTGCCCACAGCCAGAGGGCAGTGAGTTGTCTCGGTAGCAGATCCTCCAGCTTGAGGTAAGCCTTCAGAGGACAGCAACCCCCACAACATCCTACCTGCAGCCACAGGACAGACCCGGAGCCAGAAGCACCCAGGCAAGCCCACCCTCCAATTCCTCATCCACAGACACTGAGAGATGATAAATGCTTATTGCTTTAAGCAACTATGTTTTGGCCAAATTTGTTATGTAGCAATAGGTAACTCCTAAAGGAATTACCTATTGCTTCAGGGGATGAATACCCCATTTTACAAATGATATAGTTATTACTCATTGCTTGCCTGTACCAAAACATCTCATGTACCCCATAAATATACACACCTGCTATGTACCCACAAAATTAAACATTAAAAAATAATAATAATAAAGAGATACAGTAGAGCGAGTTTTAAATTTAGATTTATATGGAAATGGAGAAATATCTTAACGTTTCCTGAAAAATCCGCTCATTTTGGATGGAGGCATTCGTTGAATAGACCCCTAGAATCTACTTAGCAAGGGGCCTGCCTCGGAGGTAACTGATCATGTGTTCCTTGCCAGCTTGGCTCAGACATTTCAGCAGCCTACAATTCTCACAGCCATAACCCCAAACCTACACAGTACACACACGTAGAGCCACAGGTCATCGGAGCCGAATGAGTCCCAGTTCTCTGGCCACTTATGCTACAGAAGCCTAGCACCTTCACCTGGCAGGAGGCCTTCAAGCTTAGGGGCCTCTGGTCATCGGATGTGGACCTGAGCAAGTCCCACCTCCAAAGTTTCCTGCATGCCACATGTAGCCTGACCCTACAAAGAACTTTCTCCAGGCAGACTGCAAAGGTACCTACCTGGAAGGCAAACAGGCTAGAACTACGTGCTCCCATGCCCAAGTGGTCAGAGTATAGTAAAATTCTCACTCATGTCGGAATAGAATATCGTTTCTATTCCAGAGGACACACATGTTATATTTCAAACATCCAATTCAATTTTGCCTGCGGGTTATTAAAATATTTCCTTAATGCTCAAAATGAGAGCTAAACAATCACCAGAAGTCCATCCTGACAGGGATCAAGCCATAGTGGCTAAAACAGAACGGGAGACCAGCATTCCTTTCATTATCAAAGACTTCCACCCAGCCAGCACTCTTCATGCAGATGTACTAACAGCTTTATAAAACAACAAATCAAATTTGGCCTGCAAAATCAGCACAGCCATCTCACCTGGCAATTTCTTTTTTCAAAACCTTCCTATACTCCAAGTACTATTTTCCAAATATATTAAATTGATCCAGTAATAAAATTAACTGTATGACAACCTTATATCAACCATCTCTGACAAATATATCTTTTGTAGTCAGAGATATTTACATAAAAAAACTAAAATGTAATATATTCTCCACTCAAAAAATATTTTTAAAACCAATGCTTTATTGGCATTTCCATCTAATTGTCTGGGTTTTTTTTTTTTAATTATTGGGATAGAAAAAAGGGGACAAAGGAAAGGAATGGCAATTCTACGAGTTAAGCAGAAAGTGAAAAAATTCAATGCCATTAAAAGCAGACACCTAGGATCGTTTGTATCTTATGCCATTTGAAAAAGGTTGTTTTATTATCAATGTAACTAATCACGATGAAACCATCTCGTACAACTAAAGACATTATAATGAATTTTCTTTACAGCTACAGAGAAATGGGATTTGCTGTTTCACATCAAATAGAACAGGCTGTATAAATTCTTCTTCCTATTTATTGTAAAATATAATTTCATCTATAAAATCAGTCATGAAATATTAAAACTGAAACAACAGAATTTATATCCTTTACTTAATTTAGTTTAAACGGTCTATTCACTAAAAAAGGTGGGGGAGGTGACATGTGATAGAGCCCCTCCTTTCTCATTAAGTTTTCCATTAGACCCTTTATTTTCAAGAATTTATAAAGCAGCCATAAAAAAGGCATTCCAAGATAAAAGTTAGTATATGTTCCTTAAATTTTCCTTTCATCTTTTTCAAAAGGCAAGAGGATAAAGCATATAACATATGAATGTCAAGGAAAGCAAAGAGAATTAGGAGAATAAAATTAAAGAAACATATAATAAATTTACAGTGAAAATGTTTAACACTTTTGAAAAAGAACATTAAGCTTCAGTAAGCAAGCCATGGTTTTCATTCCAACTGGACCAATAAGCTGTAGGACACAGGGCAACTCACAAAACTTGGCTGAGCCTTGGTTTCCTTGTTTGTACAGTTTTAGGGACTAAGATTCCTCAGTTCAATGAGAAAATATCTTTCCAATATTAAGGAGTTGTTGAACACTCAAAAAGTAGAAAAAAGTATCTTAATAATGGATTTGGGTTTTGTTCCAGGAAATACAGGGAAAAAAATAGTACTTCCAAAACGTAAATCTGGGGAAAATAAACCACTGTTCTTGCTTAGATTCACTGGGTCCATGAGAAGAGATGAAATACGACAACTAATCAAAGAACTGCAGGGGATAAAAGACAAAAACTACTAATTTTGGACAAAATCTGAGAAACACTGTAATTCTATATGCCAATAAGCTAACATATGATATAAAACTATCAAGCCTCAAGACATATGGAACATAAATTATTAGGTATCAAGGATCTGAGTTTTAAGTATATTTAGAAAAGAGAAAAACTTAAGTATTACATTTTTTAATGGATATAGTTCTATCCAAGTCCATTTGTATAATAAGGTTAATAGTTTTTTTCCTCTGCATGGTGAAATTGTAGGTAATCTTTTCCTCCTCTTCTTGGCACTTTTCTATACTTTCCAAAATATATTACTTTGCGGGGAAGAGGTGACTGAATGGGAAGCTTTAAAAAACATCTCTAAACGTTATTGAAGCAATGGAGAATAATGACTACCTCATTTTTTGTTTTTTAAAAAAAGCCAGCCCTTAGATGGAAATACATTTATGATTGAGGCCCTCAGACTAAACTCAGAATCAGAACTCCACAAATGAACATCAGAAGGTGACTTGTTTTAACAGTCAGAGACACTTGGGATTCAAATTTGGTCAAACACTCATCTGCACCAAGAAAGTTACCTATGGTTCGCTGGACCTCACATTAAATACTCAAGAATGGGTGACTGGGAAGTTGCAGAAAGGATGGCCAGTTAACAAGGAGCACACCCGGCATGGAGAACTTGGTCTTTAGTACTATGCCCAACTGAAAGCCCACTGGGAGTCTCAAGAAATGGCTGATTCCAGGTCTGGGGCAAGGTTGGCACAAGGTAAGCTTGGAGCATCTTACGGCAGAAAGTAGGGAAATGCTTTAAAGAAAAAAAAGAAAGCACAAAGACACAGGAGCCAGCTTGAAGGGGCTTCCCCTGACCAAATCTCGGACAATTGGAGCACCCAAATAATGCGGTCCCATTAAACCATTACAAGTAGGAATGAGTAAGCCCAGTTCAATGACTGAATGATAGACAGGCAGATGGAGAGATGGACGGAGAGAGGAGTGGGGAGAGAGGAGCAAAAGGATGGCTCTGTTTGTAGCAGAAGGCTGAGGGGCAACTGGTAAAAATGGAGGGAGTGCTGGAGATAGAAAAGCATACTGGCAAAGACCATATCAAGCAAGAATCATCAAGGAATACCAAATCTAGGGGGGGCGTTTTAGATTTGCAGCCAAATGTCTGCATGGTGTTAAAGCATCTCCCCATAACCTGCTTATTAGTTACAAGGGAAAAACAATCTCAGTAACTGTCCAGTGGATAAACTGGCAACACCTTGCCTGTATGATCAAAATCAACATCCTCAATGAAGAGCAGATGGACACAGTGTGTCTCCAGACGTGACCCCCTGAGAAGGGCATGACATCACCTGGTCATTACTGCAGCCAACAAAACCTCCAGCTAATGAAGAGGAAACAGTGGACAATACAAAAAGAGGAATGTATTGTTTAAAGAGGAAAGAAAAAAGGTGGAGGGAACTGCAGTCTTCAAAAATGTCATAAAAGACAGAGAAAGGCTTTATAAAAGTATATAAAGAAAGGCTTCATACAAAAATATTCCTGATTAAAGAAGGCTAAAGATACATGAATTGCAGTGCCTGTTCTCAGACTGGACCCTGTGCTGGCAGGAGGAAAATGCTATTGAGGACATTTTAGGCCAACTGATAAAAAGCACCAACGTAAATTTATAAAACTGAAAATAGCACCACAGTCACGTAAGAGAAAAATCCCTATTCTTAGATGATACAGACTGAGTGTTTATGGGTAAAGGGTCACAATGCATTTAAATGACTCTCAGTGGTTCAGGAGAAAAAGTAAAGTGTGTCGATGTGTGTGGATATGGATGTGTGTGGTGCGTGGATATGGATGTGTGTGGTGTGTGGATATGGATGTGTGTGGTGTGTGGATATGGATGTGTTGGTGCATGGATATGGATGTGTGTGGATATGGATGTGTGTGGATATGGATGTGTGTGCTGTGTGGATATGGATATGTGTGGTGTGTGGATATGGATGCGTGTGGTGCGTGGATATGGATGTGTGTGGTGCGTGGATATGGATGCGTGTGGTGTGTGGATATGGATGTGTATGGTGCGTGGATATGGATGTGTGTGGATATGGATGTGTGTGGTGTGTGGATATGGATGCGTGTGGTGTGTGGATATGGATGCGTGTGGTGCGTGGATATGGATGCGTGTGGTGTGTGGATATGGATGTGTATGGTGCGTGGATATGGATGTGTGTGGTGTGTGGATATGGATGTGTGTGGTAGGCAAGAGAGCGTGGACATGAATGAGCAAGAGTGAGAGGAAACAACAAAGCAAATGGGTAAACATTGCAACAGATGACTCAGGATGAAGGTTATACAGGTGTCCTAGAAACATTTTCTAGTTTTGTTTGTGCATTTTTTTAATAAATTTCAAATCACTTCCAAATAAAAAGTGAAAAAACAACAATCAGAATGCGGGTACAGGGGTGGAGGGAGTGGGCTGGTTTTGTACATGTGACTTACAAAGACCTCTACAACATCTCTAGAAACTGTCAGAAGGGTCAAAAGAATATAAACCTCCATAAAAACGACAAAGGTTTTCTTAGACCTGACAAAACCTTTACTCCACTTAGCAGTTCTTAGTCACCATGAAGACATCCAAGAATCCAAAAAGCTTTATCTTCAACTGAAGGTTTACTGAAAATTATACCTTTCCTAGTACAGCTATGTCTCTGTACTAAGAAGTTTCAAACTCCTTTGCCACTTGAATCTTTCTGTCAATTCCTGTCCACTGTGGTGCCCATACCAGTCTTAAAACAGAGTCCTGGGTGACAGATACAAACAGAATGTCACGTATGAAAGAAGTGCATGGGGTTTTTTCCCATTACTGGCAAAACTGGTTAATGTATGCTGAATTCACCAGTAACAATCACCCATTGACAAAAGATAACTGTTCCTCCTGTCCCATTAAAATGTAAACAATTAAAACTATAATAGGGGCTGGGCTTGGTGGCTCATGCCTGTAATCCCAGCTACTAGGGAGGCTGAGGCAGGAAAATCACTTGAACCCGGGAGGCGGAAGCTGCAGTGAGCCGAGATCATGCCATTGCACTCCAGCCCGGACAAAAAGAATGAAACTCCATCTTAAAAAAAAAAACAACAACAACAGTTCTTTCCCCATTGCTGGCAACCTTTCACAGATGGGATCACAAGTCTTCAATTACTTATTTTCACACATGAACAGTGGCCCCCTTCAGACTATGGGACTAAGCAAATATTGCAGTCTCATAAAATGTCCTAACTGTAATATTACTCTTCTAAATCATGAAGAACAGAAAACAGAAATGTTATATGTGGAGAAGGAAAACTGCAGAATATAAATTTTCTTCAAATCCATAATCTGCCATTCCTTTTAGATTTGGATACAGTGCTAGAACCAACCCAACAAGAATTTAATGCCCTCACTTACAACTGCTAGAATATGTTAACTTTAAAACAGCTCAAACGTGATAAAAGTTTTTTTAAGACGGAGTCTCACTCTGTCGCCAGGCTGGAGTGCAGTGGCATGATCTTGGCTCACTGCAACCTCTGCCCCCCGGGTTCAAGCAATTCTCCTGTCTCAGCCTCCCGAGTAGCTGGGACTACAGGCGTGCGCCACCACAA
The DNA here is from genome assembly GCF_000001405.40 of Homo sapiens. NCBI lineage: Eukaryota > Metazoa > Chordata > Mammalia > Primates > Hominidae > Homo > Homo sapiens. The sequence goes on along the minus strand of NC_000018.10, from coordinate 74,615,363 downwards.
GCAGCTAATTTTTGTATTTTTAGTAGAGATGGAGTTTCACTATGTTGGCCAGGATGGTCTCGATCTCTTGACCTCGTGATCTGCCCACCTCGGCCTCCCAAAGTGCTGGGATTACAGGCGTAAGCCACCGCGCCCAGCCTGTGATAAAAGTTTTTATCTCACTCTTGAAAAGGCAGGTATTCCTGGTCAGCAAACATTCTGCTCCAGGCTGTGATCTAGAGATCCTGGCTCCTTCCACCTTGAAGCTCTGTCTTTGAGCTTTCTCATTCCCTGCATCCAGCTGACAGAAGAAAGTAAGCATGGAAGAGGCAGCTGGCTCATGGCCCCTTAAAAGCCTTGATGCTTAAGTGGCATCTATCACTTCCACTCATATCTGCTTAGCTGCAAGGGAGTCTGCAAAACATAACCTGGAATTGTGCAAAGGGAAGAAATGAAGTGGGTGGAGAGCTAGCCATCTCTGCCACACATCATTCCAAAAATGATCATGTTGCTTGTCATTCTGCCATTCATGAAGGCTTTTAGCCTTTACAAGACTTATGAAAACCTTTTTCTCAGAAATGCAACTGGAAAAGCATCCCTAGTGCTATTACTTCCACATTTGTAAAACAAGAGAATTACAGACAATGCCAATCATTTATAAATCTAGCTAATCATCAAAAATATGAAATCTCTAGGTCTTACTCGTCAAAGATTCTGATTAAGAAAGTTTGGGATAGGGACAAAAAATCTGTACTTTTAAAGAATTCCCTGGATGATTCTGATGAGCCAGTTTTGGGAACCACTGGACTAAAATCTCTCATAACTCTTCAAAAAAAAACGAATATCCACTGAATGCAAATTTACCAGACACAGTGCTGAGGTGAAGAAAAGGAGAGTGTGGGAAGTGATAAGTGAATCAGGAAAAAGCATGCATGCACTGTACGTAATACGGCTGTCACACAGGGACTCCAAACACATTGACCTCCATCATAATTTGCCACATAAAATTATTCTGAATGCCACTTTTAGCAAACATAGCTCTGACCTACCATCTTGAAATCCTAGGTTGTTACAGTGAAATACAGTAGAACACCACCCATATTGAAAATCAGATTTTGTACCCTGAAGATTCTTAATAAAAATTATTTGATCCCCTTTTTGGAAACTGTAATTTCTACTTACTTTTCTTTCTAAGCTATTTTTAAAAGTACATTACTACCTTAGTAGTAACCATTGAATTATAATGGTTTTAAAATTATATTTCAAATTAACATGCACTCCTGTAACTGCTATTCCTCATTTTATAAGTGATCCAATAATCATATATCAAACTCTGATCCATAATTCATGACCAGCAGAAATCACAAGTGAATTACACACTCCCAAAGAAAAAGTCTGTTGTTTGTTCTAGGTCTAAAACATGAAGTTGCCATTATATTCAATAACTGTAAAGCCTGCTGGGCTTTGGTTACATTTGATGGTTAGACTGGCATTACTCCAACTATGTTAAACAATTCTTTTCCCTATTAGGCTTCTTATTACCTTATTTGTTTTTCTTTAAAACAACTATGTGGATTTGTTTAATGGGGGAGAAAAGCACAGCATAAAAAGGAAAATTAAAGAGAAGTATGAACATCAAACACACCAAAAAGCACTGAGAATTAAAATTTGGATTTGCTAAATTTAGCAAAATGTAACTGAAACTAGAAGAGCTAAAGTGCCTCAAATCTGTTTAAGAAACCTATGTTCTGTATTTCCCCATAAGGGATCTCCTACAAGTACTACATGTGTCTGAAATGCAGGCATCCTTGCCACAGAAGGAGTCTCATGGGCTGTCAACTTCTAAGTGAGGTGCCGATTCTACTAGAAAGCATGACATTACATAACTACAAATGCTTGACAGTTCTCATGGTTTTGACAATTTCAGCACTCAGTATCAAAGAAAAACAGCAGTGCTGTTTGGCTTCACAGGAGAGGTAATTTGACTTCTAGAGTCATCTTTTTGTTTTTCCTATACATGTTAAGTTCAAGGAGTGACTATAATATGATGGCTTAAGGTTTACAGTAGAAGCAACACTGATCTAAGAAAAAGTCCCATAATATAAGATAAATATGACAAAAGAAAACAAAGTTATAAAAGGTTAGAAAAAATAGGCAAACGTTGATTCCCCAAATGTGCCCCTGCTTTTTAGCAAGAAATTGCCTAAGCAAAGAAGTATGATTTCCAGAATCTTGTGGGAGGACACTACCACTTTCTAATGAACTGAAAGATGCACTCCTTAGAAGTCACTTAGACTCAATATTCAAGAACTAAAATCAAAATGTGATTAACTACTTCTTATACTTTTAAGGGCTAGTAATCTCCTAGAATGATAAAGTCATGTATGCTAGTTTAAAAAAAACTTACTAAGATTTTTAAAAAAGGACGTAAATAAACATTTACCAGTCTTCTTCCACACTCCCATTTCTGCCTTGATTTTTGTTTTCTTCCCTCTGTCTCTCTCAGACATACTATTTTTGCCTAAGCTTGTCTTCTTCCTCTGACCCTGCATGGCAGTGACTCAGTCAGACTCCCTTCTGTGCCTGATCTCTCTGTGCCCATGGGCAAGGTGCCTCTTCCGCAAAGCAAGGATAACACTTATTAATAACGCCTACCCCACAGAGTCACTGCAAGATGCAATCTTCATTCATTTAATGGCATATAAACTCGGTATGTCACGTGTTCATATCAGTGCCTGGCACACAGTAGGTGCTCAGTAAGTATTAATAATTATCATCGAATCCAGTCTTCTTTTTCATATCTCTACACCTGAGTCTTTACAGGAGGTCAACTGAAGAGTTAAGTTCTATCACATTCCTCCAAGAACCTGTCTCTCCATCTCCATCAAATCTTTTTCACACAAACAGAAAAGTCCCTACGTAGAGTATGCAAAATAAAAAATCATGTTTGTTTTTGAGATATTTGGTATATACAAAAAACTTTTAATATGTGTAAAGGTGTTGTGCAAAATATAACAAAATCCTGAGTGCAGATAATACTTCAAGAAAAACAAATTATCTCTGATAATTTGTCCCTCTGTGTTCCCATCACCTTCCTTCTTATACAGTTATCCACCGACTTGAGTCTTGCATGTATCACTTGTTTTTCTTTATTACTTTATCATATCCATATTTCTAACAATCTACAATTTTGTTTTTGCATGTTTCTAAACTTTAAAAAAAGGGAAAAAACTGTGTATTCTTCTACAAGTAGCTTTTTTCCCCCTTGAGATTATGTTCCAGCTGCGTATTATCCTTGGTGATGAATGCAGCTAACATTCACTCAATCTCACTACTGTACGGGACTTCACTATGGGAATATGATACAATGCAGGCATCTGTTCTCCTCTGATGGACATTGCTCCCAGTCTTTCCTCTTACAAAGAGCGTGACTGTGAGCATCCTTGCACATGTCTCCAGGCACTCATGCGCATGAGTTTCTCTAGGGTAATACCTTTCATATTTTAGCATCACATTCCCTACAGGGCTTGACAGTCAGAAACCTGGCCCATCCTTAAAGTTGCTGATTCAGTAGGTCCACAGCAGAGACCCCAGATCTGCATTTCAAACAAGTTCCCAAATGATGCTGCGAAACAATTCAGAAACCACTGCTCCAAGATAAAGACTGAGTGGAATTACTGGGTCAAAGGATACAGGTATCTCAACTTTACTAGATACTCCCAAAGGCAGCCTATCACTTCCACCAGCTGTATATAAGCATTCCAGTTGTTTCCTGTCCTCCCAACAATATTGTCAGACTTTTTACATTGTTGCCAATCTAATGTGTAAGAAACTATACATCATTTTGGTCCTAATTTGCATTTCCCTAATTACTAATGAAGTTGAGCATTTTTGCATTCAAGTTTCCTCTTCTGTGAAATGCCTACTTAGGTCATTTGTCCCCTTTTCTGTTGTTCTTACTGATTTGTAGTCACCCTGCTGGATACTAACCTTTTATTAGTAATATGTGCTGAATATGTCTATTCTCCCTATGACCTGTCTGTTCACTTTCTTGATGGTTTCTCTTAATAAACAAAAGCTATATCAACATTAGTGTTGTCAAACATATTGATCTTTTCCTTTATGGTCTGCACCCTCTGTGATCTTTTTAAGACCCCTTTCCTATACCAGAGTCATACAACTACTGTCCTGCATTGCCTTCTGAAAGTTTCATAGTTTTGCCTTCTATATTTAAGCCTTTAATTGACCTGCGGTTGATTTTTGTGAGTAATGTGAATTAAAAACATACCCCACCCTCAGGAAGTTTCCTGTTTGGTAAGGACCACATGTAACTTTAGAGAGGATATCAAAAGTGATGGAATATTCATTAGGTGTTAACCATTACTTCATTGAGGTTTATTCTGCTCTCTCATTGAGACAAAAAATTGGAAAATTTCACATGAACATTTGGAAGGTTATTTGCAAACTGTAGTCAGACTATGATCCCCACTTACTACACCCCAGGAAGAAACCTTAAAAATGTCCCAAAATAGGCTGGGCGTGGTGGCTCATGCCTGTAATATCAGCACTTCGGGAGGCTGAGGTGGGCGGATCACCTGAGGTGAGGGGTTCGAGACCAGCCTGGCCAACATGGTGAAACCCCCATCTCTACTTAAAAAAAAAGCAGAAATTAGCCCGGTGTGGTAGTGGGCACCTTAATCCCAGCTGCTTGGGAGGCAGAGGCAGCAGAATTGTTTGGGCCAGGGAGGCGGAGGTTGCAGTGAGCCGAGATGAGCCATTGCACTCAAGCCTGGGGGACAAGAACGAGACTTCTCAACAAAATAAAACAAAAAAAAGTCCCAAAATATTTAAGTCCTATTCTAAAAAACTAAAGAGTTAAGCATTGGGAAAGTACAGGAAAACGAACGTCCTCAAATGGTAATTACCTAAATGGGTAATTACCTATCTGGAGGGTAAGCTGCTTGCACGCATGCACGCACAAGAGAGACCGAGAGGGAGAGGGGAAATGTGGGTTTCAGGATGTTCACCATGAACTGTAGAGAAAAACTGGAAACAACCTACTATCCAACAATGGGGGATGGTTAAAAGTAAAGCTAATGTGGCAATCCATCTACTTGAATACTGTTAGATTACACAGCTCCACAATCATGTGAAAAGATTTCACAAAATTCTGGTAACTTGCAAAAGCAGCTAACAAAATGCACGTATAGTATTCATTTATTCATCAAATATTTATGAGTGGCTTGTGTATTGCAGGTCCCAAGCAAGTCACTGGAAAACAAAAAGAGACTTGTTCCCTGCCTCCAAGAAGCTTACAAGCCTGTGAAGGATATATCCAATATGTTTCTTCCAATGTGCTCCGGTTGGGACAATAAAGGCATATGTGTTTTGAGAATAGAGACAATTTATATTATATAAAGCATATATAATATATACAGCAATGTCATCCACATGATCTACAAATAAAACATACCTACCCAGCTCTAGGAACCACCAAATGGATAAGCCACAGGATACTTAGGGTGACTACCCTCTGATGAACTGAAACACAGTCATGCACTACCTAATGATGTTTTGGTCAACAATGGACCACATACATGATGATGGTTCCCTATCATTACAACGGAGCTGAAACATTCCTATTGCCTAGTGACATCATTTAGCTGTTGTAATGTCTTAGTACAACACATTTCTCACGTTTGTGGTGATGCTGGTGTAAGCAAACCTACTACACTGCCAGTTATACAAAAGTGTAATCTCCTAGGCCTTCGCATTCTCTCACCACTCACTCACTGACTCACCCAGAGCAACTTCCAGTCCCACAAGCTCCATCATGGTAAGTGCTCTAAACAAGTATACCTTTTTTTTATCTTTTATACCATATTTTTACTGCACCTTTTCTATGTTTGGATAGATTTAGATACACAAAATACTTACCATTGAGTTACAATTGCCTACAGCATTCAGTACAGTAACATGCTATATGGGTTTGTTGCCTAGGAGCGGTAGACCACACCATATAGCCCAGGTGTGTAGCAGGCTGCACCATCTAGGTTTGTATACTCTGTGATGTTCACACAACAATGAAATCACCTAGAGGCATTTCTCAAGAATGTATCCCCCCTGCACAGGTAGGGAAAGTCATTCACTGGAAGACAAATGTGAGACAGAGTGCAGAACCACAGCAAAAGAACTGGACAGCTTCCTCGGCTGCCAATTCAATACTGATTGATTGACGGAGATCAGCAAATGCATGTACTTCCAACAGCTTAAGCCTTTACCTCTCCCCTGCTATGTTTGGTTCTAATAAATAATAACAAACCTTCTCAAGATATGAAATACCCCACAGTTAAAGTCAAACTCAAAAGATTCTGATATTATGTTCATTTGTTTCAAACTTTCTGCACCAAAATCAAAAAAAAAATGAGTCATTAATCACAAAGAAAAAAATGTTTAACCTCACAGTACAAAAACCTGACACGTCATCACCTCAACCAAGAGATCAAAGTTCACGTTCACCAGAAGAAGACATATCTATATCACATACCTCCTCATATGATGCACTGAGAAGGACATGATTTCACCCCTGTGCTAGTATTCCCACCAAAAATGCCTAAACCTCAATTTAACAAGAAAGAGCATCAGACAAATCCAAACTGAGGGACATTCTACAAAATAACTGGCCAGTATTCTTCAAAAGTATCAAAGTCATGAAAGACAAAGCAATCTAAAGGAACTGGCCAGGCGCGGTGGCTTACACCTGTAATCCCAGCACTTTGAGAGGCCAAGGCAGGCGGATCACTTGAGGTTAGGAGTTCAAGACCCGCCTGGCCAACATGGAGAAACCACGTATCTACCAAAAACACAAAAATTAGCCGGATGTGGTGGTGCACTCCTGTAATCCCAGCAACTCAGGAGGCCGAGGCAGAAGAATCGCTTGAACCAGGAGGCGGAAACTGCAGTGAGCCGAGATGAGCCACTGCACTCCAGCCTGAGTGACAGAGCAAGACTCTGTTTCCAAAAAAAAAAGAAATCTAAAAGAACACTATCACAGACTGGAGAGACCAAGGAGACATAACAAAATACAATGTGGGATACTGGGTTGGATCCTGGACCAGAAAAAAAGGATATCAATGGAACCATTGGTTAAATTCAAATAAATGTTTTAGATTAATTGTTACCAATTGCCTGGTTTCAATGATTGTATTATGGATACATGAGAACAACAGGAGATGCTGGCCAAAAGGTATATACATAGGAACTTTCTAGACTATTTTTGCAATTCTTTTTTCTAAAATTATTTCAAAGTAGAAAGTTTTAAAAAGTCATTTCAGATGAAAGATAAAAAGACAAAAGGGAGGGATTATTGACTCTAACATAAAAATATGCTATCTCTAACTTCTGTGCTAAAAATGTTCAATAACTACAAATAAGGATTAAGCTGGAATAAATAAATTACAATTGTTCAGGAAGAGCCTGTGATTGGGATACTCTAGAGAACAGAGTAACTCTCCAGGGCACTGAAGTCTTTCCAGATAAATGACCTATGTTATTTCCCCCTTACTCTTTTAATCCATTTCAACTCATTTATTTGTCATCTACTATGTGCATGTAAGTGTGCTAGGGCCTGATGAGATTTTTATATATAAGAAGGGATTATTTAAGTACACAAAATAACAAAGAAAAGTACAGAGTCACAAAACCAGAACTAATTTTTCACTCCTATACACTCTAGCAATCAATCTGGACACCCTTTCACAGAAAACGTTGCTAAGACTGGGCCTCACAGCACAAACCCAGCCCCGTCAATGGCCAGTGGTCGTGACAAACAGAATTAGCTCCAAATTTACGACTGAAAATGCCACAGTGACTCTGTGAGAAATACTCCATTTCTTTTTTTTTTTCCCCCATCTAATCACTATGTGCATTTCTTTTTTCTAACATAAAATTAAAGAACTAGATTATCCGAGTACTAGGGAAAAGGTTAGTCTGGTATAAACCTGGGAAGGTTTACTTAATCTCCTCTTACAAGCGGCCTGAGAGATCAACGCCACATCAGGTGATGCTGAGGCTACAGAAGTGTGGTCTCAGGACTGGCAGCTGCAAAGTCACCCCGGGAACCTGTGAGAAATGCAGATTCTTGAGCCCCAGCCCTGGCCTGCTGAGCCAGTTTCTGGTTGATGCCCAAACCCTCTGGGTGACTCCGATACACATTAGGATTGAGAACCACCAATGGAGGAGCAAAAAGACCAGCCATGAATCAAGAGGCCTGCTTCTAATCCTTGTTCTACAACTAATCTCTGAGACTGACGAAACACCTGCCTCCTGTAGGGCACAGCTTTCCTAGTAGACGATGAGGAGTCGGAATAGGGTTGCCACAATCCTCATTCCCTCTAAAAGGTGATAACCCTACGGTAGCAGTCATTCCTCTAAGGCCTGAAAGTGAAAAGACCACCCCTAGTATTTCACCAGATGTTTCTCTCTTTCATCAAAGTGAAATAAGTAAAATTTCCTCATCAACTAGTCTCTGAATTACACCGGATATATCTAAAATTATTTCTTCTATTTTAAATAAAATTGCATTTACTTTGCTTTAGCTAACGCCATCTAAACTCTAATTTAACCATTTCTCCTATTTAATTCTATATCAAGTCTACTTTGAAATAATTCCAAAAATTCCAAGAAAACTGACACTCAAATGTCTCCTCAGGTGTGCCGACATAATAAACTCCACCACAGTTCAGGACTGTGCTCTGTGTCGTCACATAAAGAATATGTGTGATGACATCACAAGAAATAAAACAAGTATGAAAATCAAAGAATTTTTACATGTTTAGATCTAGGCTGGGTGCAGTGGCTCACACCTATAATCCCAGCACTTTGGGAGGCTGAGGCAGGAGACATTGCTTGAGTCCAGGAGCTCGAGATCAGCCTGGGCAAGACCCCGTATCTACTCAAAATATATTTAAAATATATTTTTTGAAAAATATATAAATGTAGGTATCTCCATTATGTCATAAGAAACTGGTTCTTTCCAGATTTTCTTCATAATAGTTCTAAAAAGCACCTTTCCAGATAGAATTCAGCATTACACACATGATGAGCTTCAACCTGAAACTCATTACAAATCAATTGCTGCATTTTTTTCACATAGCAGATTTCCAAATTTTATTTTTAAGATCACCATGTAGCTATTAAATACAAAAATGATCTCCCAGAAGTTTTTCACCTGTTTCCTTAAACTGCTCTCATTTATTTTCTGGAAAAGCTCTTCATGTCCACATCAAGCCCAGGCCCAGGCCCGCCGCTAGTGATCCCTGACAATCTGAAGGGTTAGGGCGCTTTGGCGTGAAACCATGGCCTCTTTCCTCTCCAAAAGTTCACAGAAACATATTATTCTGCAGGTAATTTCATCGGGCTTAGGAAGTCAGGAAAAGCTCTGATGAAGAACCCAAGGACCGCAGTCTCCACCGACGGTCCAGGAACTAGAATCTCCTTGCTTGTCACACTAGTCCAACACTAACACACACAGACGTGGGCTGGGTTTTTGCTGGTTTGGCTAGTTAATGACGTACCTTTCTAGTATACCAATGTGTGTCCCACAATTATATCTTACTGGGTTCATAATAAAGTTAATTTTTTAAGTTTAAAAAAATGTGGTTTTCATAGAAATCCTATAAAAAGTTATATAATTCCCTACTTTCTTAACATGTATATAGAATATAATTTCATATTTTCTTGACGATTCAGGGTAACAACTGCTGTGCTGGACAGAAAACCTTAACTGCTATGTATGAGGAAACAAACTTCCTATGATTTTTTGATTTTTTAATTTTTTATTTTTTTCAAACTCCGTATTATGCTATGTGCTTAATTCATGGCATGGGCAGTACTGTTCTGACCACTGCTGGATAACAGCTATAACAGAGTGAGGGCTGGCTTTGTCAGCTCCTGGATGAAGACTTATCCACATTCCACCAATTAGCACTCACACAAAAGCTACAAGATAATACGCATTTCATAGTGAAGTTACTGAGGCTCAGAGAGATGAAGAGACTTACCTGAAGTCACACAGCTAGGAGCTGCAGACAGCAGATGCAAGGCCCATGCTTCCCAGTCCTTATAAGATTAGGAAATGGACTGGAGACCTCACTAAGTAGCTGGGGGTGAAGGAGGTGCTCTTCAAGACTGAAGTCACCGCCGGAATGTCTCTTACCCTAGAAATGGCCCCGGGAAGGCAGACCCCAAATATCAAGAGAATGCACTCCATTTCTTTCTTGGTGTGGCAAACGGTGAGTGAAAAGGTTAACAAAACCCTTTCCCTGATACATGAAAATTAGACTGTTAGTTAAACCATCTGGCTCTGTTCCCTCTGGTAACCTAATAAGGGTAAGAATGTCAACTATGCCACTAAGCGAAACTGCTTACTGTAAGAATGGCCCAACTGGTAAACTGCATCCAGACTTTGATGAACTATGCATGAACTATAAATATCTGATGGGGACACCATGCTTCGGGTGCCCTTGGGATGCAAGGACTCTTACACATGGTGAGTGTCCCATAAATGAATAAAATGTAGTATATACCTCAAAAGATTTGGGGGGATTACATGATGTATGTACAGAGGCATCTGGCACAGTGTTTATATAAAGAACTCAAAAACATTATTATTGTTACTTCCATTGAATTCTGTGTTTATTTATTATCCTCTGCCAAGGATCCTAGAAGCTAAGCCTATGGAATGTTCAAAAACACTTGCTCCCTATGGGGCATGAGATTTCAAAGATAAGGCTGTGTCTACATCCATGATGTGGCTCTCATGTCCCTGCACTGAAGCAGCCACCTGGAAAGACAGTGTCTGCACAGCTGTGTAGACAATTGCAAGGACCACCCCTGAGAGAAGATCTGACACTTTGGGCTGGCAAGCTGTGGCTCTTGTTCTTCCCCTTCTTCACAGACTGTTCAAGTGTGGCCTATGGAGGTCTGGGAAGTGTGAGTTAAACCTAAGACCCCTGGTGGACATAGCAGACAAGCAAAGGATCAAAATGCACATGAGGAAGCTTCTGGGATAGGGAGAAGGGAACTTGCCACACGGATGCAAACCAAAAGCTAACAAGGAGAAAAACTAGGCAAGGACCCATCTAAAGAACTTCATGGAATTCCCTGAATCCCAAGAAGCAAAGGAGCTACAATGGAATCAAACCTTGTACTTTGTGAGGAGGTGACCTCTCTTATCTCTTCATCCACCTCTTCCTTAGTGACCAAGTGAACTTCCATGGTTTTCATTCCCATCCACTAATGATGATGCCTAAATTTTTATCTCTAGCCAACAGCTCTGTAGGTACCAGACCCCTAAGTCCATTTGGATGTTACATGCACTCATCAACTTCCCCCACAAACTTACTCCTTTTTCCTTTGTTCTTTATGGCAGTAAATAGCTTTACAACCCATCAAATCACCCAAGCCAGAAATCCTTAATGTCCACTAATAAGATAATGTTTAAATAAGCTAATATATCCATAATAGAAAATATTACATAGTTGAGGTAACACTGGAAGCTCATCAAGACATCCTGTTCAGTCTGAAATTACTTAACAGTGGTTACCTATGGAAAAGTGCCTGAAATCAGGGAGAACTTATTCTCTCCAGTGCTTGAATGTTAAAACAAAAACCAACAACTACCAAAAAAACAAAAATGCTTAAGAATAAAGAAAGATGTGGAATGAATCTATTGTTTCACAGGCGTCAATGGTGTCTCACCAACAGACTGAGCTTCTAGGAGACCTAAGCCTAAGCTACTTCCTCGGTACAGAATTTATGAAAGGTGCCTTTCAGGTACTGATTACGTGGCCTGCCTTACATGGTTGGGCTTTACTGTCAGAACTGCTTCATAGAGAGAAGATACTGTTGTCATTTGCTTTGCTCACATTAAAAGAATGGGCACTTTCAAACTCAAGAAACTGTTAATAGTGATTGTCTCTGGAGAGCAGCCCTAGAGTCTGAGGCATCACTGTACTATTTGCAATTTTTCGTTGTGTGCATGCATTGGTTTTTCAATTGTAAACAACTAAATAAATAACTGAAGGGCAGGGGGGACTTCCTTTCCTCTGAGAAGTCTCCCTAAACCTTCTTCCAAATTAAAGCAAGATTCCTTATCATCAACTCTCATAGCATCTGTGCAGCACAGTGAGTGCTACAGGACTCAAAACTTTCTTTAAATAAATGCTAAGACATGACCAAATGCATGAACCTATTACTGGCTCCCCAATGCCCTTACAATAAACTCTTCAAGTATTACCTCAGCCTTCAAGACCCTTCGCAGTTTGGCCCCTGCTTCCAAATGCTACACTGCCCCATGATCTGCCGGGCTGCCTGGGAGCCTCAGCTCTCTCCTGAATGCCCTGTCCCCACACACCTGGGCATGCTCAGGGGTCAGTGTAGGAGTCCCCCTGAGGCATTTTCCCTGCCCCCAACTCCCCTCACACACACACAGTGCAGGATGTGTTTCCCAGCAGGACCAGGGCAATGTGTTTATCCTACCCTTCTGGATCTCTACTAACTCACAGACTACACTGGACATAAGAGGAGCTAAAAAAAATGTTGAATGAATCAATGCTAAAATACTGTAGAAGGTAATGTAACTTAGTGACTAAAAATAGGGGTTCGGAAGTCAGACCATCTTGGTTCAAATCCTGGCTCTACCATTTAATAGCTGTGTCGCCTTGCACAAGCTATTTATCCTAAATTTGAGTGTCCCATAAATCAATAAAATGTAGTATATACCTCAAAAGATTTGGGGGAATTAAATGAGATTATGTACAGAGGCACCTGGCACAGTGTTTATATAAAGAGCTCAAAAACATTATTATTGTTACCACCACTGAATTCTATGTTTATTTGCCTTTTACTGTCCCTAAGTACTTAATACTTTGAAAACGTCCAGTTTTCTCAGCTATACTCGAGAAGCAAACTGTTAAACCAGGATTATTATATCTGGAAACTACTGTATGAATAAAAGCAATAATCCTCTAAAGGAAAAATGACACTTAAAGAAGACAATGTTGGAGACCATCATCTCTCTCTACCTTCTCCCGCAAAAGGTTCTCCCTTCAGTGCTCAATTCTAGAAGTTCTAGATTTTACTTTATTTAGGGAGGCTGTAATTCCTTTACACTCCTACACCGCCATCAACTTCTTGCAAGGCTATTTCTGGGTTTTATTCCAGGTAGTTGGAATTGCAAGATAATCAAGTAAGCAGGGAGTTAGTACAATTATGATCTACCCATATAATTACCATAAGGAGATGTTCTAGTCACAAGACAACACTGATAAGAACAAAAAGCCTTTCCACTACAAAAAATATATACAGATGTGGATCCCTCACTAGTGATGCAAGCAAGATACATATGTAGGTGTAGCTATGTATACAGATATGTATGCATATATTGTATAGGGACATGTTTTGTACTTCCTTTCTGCTCCAAATGACTCATACTCCATTAAATTCCACAATATTTACTGATTCCCCTCGAAACAGTTTGGATGTGCATCCCCTCCAAATCTCAGGCTGAAATGTAGTCCCCAATGTTGGAGGTAGGGCCTGGTGGGCAGTGATTGAATTATGGCGGGGGTGTCCCTCCTGAATGGCTTGGTGCTGTCCTGAGATGGTGAGTGAGTTCCCATGTGACCTGGCTATTTAAAAGTGCATAGCACCTCCCCACTCTCTCGCTCCTGCTCTTGCCATGGGATATGCAAGCTCCCCGTTTGCCTTCTGCCATGATGGAGAGCTTCCTGAGGCTTCACCAGAAGCCCAGCAGATGCCAGTGCCACACTTCCTGTAGAGCCTGCAGAACCGCGAGCCAGTGAAACCTCTTTTCTTTGTATATTACCCAGCCTTGGCTATCTCTCCATTTTAGGCAATGCAAGAATGGCCTAACACCCCCTTCTATGAGTAAGACATCATGCCAAGAGACTTGGGATGCATACACATGAAGGCCGGTCTTGCCATAATCTTGTGAAGGACACACACACACACACACACACACACACACACACAGACATACACACACACACACACACAACTAACTGAAGGAACCAAGGCTGCAGTGAGATGCTGGTGGTCCTCTGGGATTGCAGACTCATCCATACAACTGCCCACTCAACGTGTTCACAGAAATGAGCCCACACTGAAGTATCTTACTGGGGCAACTGCTCACCTTCCATCACCACACAGGGAACACCAGGCTCCACCCAGTCACCCGAAGCAGACACATCAGTGTCCACCTTGACTTGTCCATCTCACCTACTCCATCCCCGAATCCACTCCACTAACTGAGCATGTACAATCCACTCACTTCCCCTACCTCTGGGCCACTATCCTAGTTCAGACTTCTGTGATGTCTAACCTACTATAAATGCAACAGCCTCTAAAAGATCCCTGTCCCCTAGCCTTACACCATGCCAACTGGTCTCCGTAGTTGCAATCAAAGTGCTTAAAACAAGCAAAAGGGTGTACATGTCACTATGCTGCCTACATTTCTTCAAGAGGGCCTCTCCAGCCTTATTTTCCACACCTCCTCTTATACTCCGTGATCCAGCCATCCTAAACACCTTTTAATTCTTGAAATGTTCCACATTACCTTTTGACGCTTGGAAGTCTTCTATCCAAAACTGGATTCCCTAACCGCTCTTTATCTCTTTGCCCAGTGAGTTCCTGTTCATTCTCTGGTCGCCATTCCCTCTTGGTATTCCTCCCTAACCTCTTTAAGCTTGCCAGGTTCAGTGGTTATGCTGGACATTTTTGCTTTTAGGGCTACCCACAGCCCAAGCTTCCTTCTATTTAGTAGGACTCCTTTGAGGTGTGGGTCTTTGCGAGGGATAAAGACCATCTCTCTCCATCTCTCTGCTCCCTGACAACTACAGTGGCTTGGCAAAAAAGGTCACAAAGATGCAGGAGCAATAAGAGATTTTTCAGTGGTAGAAGAGAGTCAACAGTCCAGCAACAGAGGTGGCAGTTTCTCCAGTGGCAATGTCACCAGCAACAAAATTCTAGGCAGGCTATTTACGTGATATTGCCTTGGATGTGGCCCCAGCCAGCCAGCCTCTTTTGGTTGCTGCCTATTTTCTGAATCCAGTTCCCCAGCCTTCCCATCAATTCTGAAAGCCATCTATAGCCTTCCAATAAATTCCTTTTCTGCTTAAGTCAGCCAAGTCCATTGCCATGGTTGACAACCAAGAATCATGAATGGCACTGTGACACTCTGTGGGCAGGCCATCAGACTGCACTGCCAATGCGCATTTGCTTGTCTATATTCCCCACTATCTTGTTCATCATTTTACTCTAGTGCAATGGCTGGCACAAAGCAAGCATGCGGTAAATGTTTCCTGAATGCATTACTTAATTCCACTAGTCATCAGAGTTGGAAAGCAAGGAAAACGCTCAGTGGAGGACCACAGTGCATTCCTAAAAAACCAATCTCAACTACAGTCGAAAGAGTCACAACTATCAATTAGAAACATACAGCTTAATTTATTCGCCTATTCATAGATTTAGAAACTAGGCTTCTTCTCACTATCTGGGATACAAACCACCTTCTTAAAGGAGATGAGAAAGAGAAGAATCAAACTAGGAGAGTATATTTTATTAAGATTAGCGAGTTCTACTCTAATAAAACAAACCTAATCGGAATGAATGTTGGGGAAAATGTCCCTTCAACCAGGTGAATACCCACTAGTCCTTGAGACCTATCTCAAATCACATATCCTGCAAGAAGCTTTCACCACTCCCCACCATCAATCAGCCGTAACTTCCACTGTGCTCCCACATCTCTATTTTAGTAAGCAGAAAAAGGTATTATATATATTTATTTATGTGTCTATTCAACCAGATCTCAAAATCCTCTAGGGAAGTATATTACTATTTCCAACACCTAGAAGGGTGTTTGGCATAAAGCAAGAACCAGTGTTTTTGAAGTGGAGCCACTTTGCTCTGCTTAAAAGGTACCAATGGAACTGTCCTATTGTTTGCAACTTTTCTGTAAATCTTAATTTATTCCGAAATAAAGTTTAAAAAAAAATGCACCAGTAGCAACTGTGTTGTGAGCAATTATCACACCTGCCTTACATGTCACGCAAGAAGAAAGCTTTACCTTGTACCAGTAGCAGTAATTTTGTATATAGCAAAGTGAGTCTCAGTTTGTAAAAAGGGAATAATTCCTACTACACAAGATTGCTGTACTAAATGAAGCACAGTGAGTATGCCAAATGACATATAAGCTCTTCTTAATAAGGTTCTGATGAGTATATGTTAGGGCCCCTGTCTACAGTGTTCTAAATGGACCAGCACTTCACCACAAAACAGATACATACTACGACTAGGATGTCACCAGGCATAGACTGCAAAGCTGTAACTCAAATCACTATTAAGACTGTAATTACTTATAAAAGTATTCTACATGTGTGTCCACGGATGTGGGATGTCCTATTCCAAAACTCCCCAATGAAATAAATGGCTACTCAAAACCCAGCGCAACCGACAGAGGTCAGCGGCCACTGCACCCCGCCTCCACCAGCTTAAACTCCAGAAGGAGGCCAAGCACCCAGGGCGTGCTAGCTGGCTGGAAAGAGGTGAGCATCTACTGAGAAACCCACTGCTGCCCGCAGCGGTGTCAGGCAGCCGCGGGTCTCCCCGCAGTGGCGCAAAGCGAGCTGAAGTCGGGAATGGCTAGGACCCTTCGCTGCCACCGCGGTGCTTTCGGCCACCGCACTTGTGTGCCCTCCGCCCGCCCACACCAGCGTCGCTTAACGGAAGAAGGCGCGAGTAGCAGCGGCGCAGCCAGGGCACCTGGGGGTGACACGAGAGTGGGCGGGCGGTCCAGGGAGCCCCTGCTGGAAACCAGACGCTAAAGCTTGCAGCTGTGCAGCTAGGGGAGCATCTGTTTTCCACTTGAGAGCAACCCGGGCACGCGAGAACGGCCCGATTTCGGTGCAGGGGTGCGTCCCGAAGGAACGGGGGACTGTTTCTGCGCGGACAGGCGAACCCGGCAGGGGAAACCGAGGCCACGCTAGGTCCGCAGCCCCGAGGTGTCCACAAGAGCTCCGCTCGCGCAAGGGCGCGGAGCGAGGCTGCCCGCGGGACCGGCCTGCGGAGCGAGCGGGTGAGAGGGCAGGGCGGCAGCTGGGGCCTGGGGGAGGAGGGCGGCGAGGCAGCGTGAGCGAACGAGCGAGGGTGTGTGTCCGGGCGTGAGTCTGGGCGGGTGTCGGGAAGGAAGGCGACAGGGAGGGGCGGAGGCGGGGGGAGGGGGGAGGAGAAAGAGCGAAGGGCCCAGACGGGGCTCTGGGCGCCCAGCCGCCCGGCTTCGAGCCCTCAAGCCACCGCCCCCAGGCCCCGCGCTGACGCTGGACGGTCCCCGCCTCCAAACCCCCCGCCCCGGCCAGAGAATAACTTACCTGTTTGGCGACGGAATCGCTCCTGCTCGCCCCTCTGACTGACTCCTCCGGCTCACCGTCTTCCCTTTGGGAGGAAGAGGCGGGACATCCTGTTTCTCCGTCGAAGGACTTCCGGTGGCTTCCAAGGCGACTCCGTAGTGGATGCAGCGCCGGACGCCACAGCCGAAAAACAGAATCTTGGAACTGGTTTAGTACAATCCAGGTCGAGTTCCTTGTTTTTTATCCGAGTGGCCGGCAGGCCCATGTGCTGTCTTGTTTTTAACACATCAGCTCTTGCCGGAAGCCGCTAAGAGATAAAATAGGAAGTCCCACCCTTCCCTTAGAGAAGGAAAACGGAGAGCCGAAGGAGTCAATCTAAATTCGATGAGCGCGTCGGGCTCCAAGGCAGGCGCTGTCAGCCCGGGAGGGCTGTCTGGGATTTCTAGAGGGTCCCAGAACGGGTTCTTCCCAGGCCGATCCCGCCTGCTTCCTGCCCCGTCTCTCCACCCGCCTCCCGCCCTCTGTAAGGGACCCCGAGGGCGGCGCCGGAAACACGGAGAAGGCCCAGAACGGCGCGGGACCCGAGAGGCCTACGTTGGCAAACGCAGCCCGCTGCCCCTTTGCTCGCTTCCCCCGGGCCTGGAGTGGCTCCTGTCGCTTCTGGCGCTCCGATTTCGAGAAATGACTTTCAGCTGTGCAAGGCGAGAATGCTACTTTAGATGATGAGAAAAAATCTCTCGAATGGCTCCCAAAATGAGGTCCTTGTTTAAGAGGCCACAGGAAGCCGCTAGCCGAACTCTGATACCAAAGAGGAGGCCAAGAAGCGGACTGTGGCTTGGTGACCTGTTTGGTATTGCCAAATTTTCAGCTTTTATTAAAGCTGAAACACCTTGGCTGTTTAAAACGTTCGACAAGGACTTTTTTATGAACGTTAACGGCACAGCATACGGGTTTTTTGGAAAAAAAAAAAGGCAGGACTTCAGCCCGTCCGCCCCCTTGTGCAGGTCCATTCATGAACCTCGAGTTAGAGGCCTTTCTTCTGAAACTCAGAATCTAGTAGGGAAGACCTGTGTAGACGAATAAAAATAAATACATCACAGCTTGTTAAGTGCTGTGACAAAGAGGCAGTGAAATCCTGCTTGAGGTCATCTGCCTTGCTAAAGAGGTTTGACTATGTTGTAGGCACAGGGTTAGGGTTAGACTCTGTAATGGGAAGTTATGTGATCAGATTTCTGTTTAGGAAGATCACTGGCCAGGCGGGGTGGCTTACGCCTGTAATCCCAATACTTTGGGAGGCCGAGTCGGTGGATTGCTTGAGGCTAGGATTTTGAGACCAGCCTGGGGAAACCGCGTCTCTACTAAAAATTTGAAATTAGCCAGGCATGGTGGTGCGAGCCTGTAATTCCAGCTACTTGGAGGCTGAGGCGGGAGAATAGCTTGAACCCAGTGGCGGAGGCTGCAGTGAGCCGAGATTGCGCCACTGCACTCCAGCCTGGGCGACAGAGCGAGATTCCGTCTCAAAAAAATCATTGTAAGTAATTGGATTTTTGTGTGTGTGTGATGTTCTGAAGATAGGCTTTCTAGGCCAAATCGTCACTCAAGGCCAATTCGAACACAATTCAGTTTAAATCAGAATACATTCGAGTGATAATTCCTTACCTTTTTAAATAGTTCATAGAAAACTTTTTGTAGACATTATCTGGTTTAATTCTGATTGTAATCCACATGAATTCTCTTATCCACAGTAAGGAACAGTAATTTAGAAGACTAATAAACTGTTCCAAGATCACACAGCTAGTAAAAGTGGAACTCAACCTAAAACTCCAGAGTCAAGCTTTTCCATCATGTAGACTCAGTTTAATAGTAATAGTTAATTAAAAATTCTAGAGAAAAATGTGGGAAACAATTTCCTCACAAGTGACCAGCTGCAAATGTTATTTGTATTCCATTAACCAACATTTATTGGGTGCCTGTTATATAAAAGATAAAACTGGGTTCTGCCTTCAAAGAGTTCACTTGAAATTTAAAATTTATGTGAAAATTTAGCACTTCCTACAGTGTTTTAATAGCTATTTCAACAGTGTTGGTGTTGTATGACAAGGTGATAAATTTCTTGACAATAACAATAGCACAATTCTGTATATGGATTGGGCATTCTGTGATCTTTGGGTGATTTATCTTGCTACCTTTCTTACCTTGGGGGTTTAGTTAACACTTATGTTCCTCCCCTGAGCAGTGAAGTAAAATCTAAGTTTATGTTTCAGTTCTATTTTGAGTATTTTGAGTTACTAAGACAGGACCTTAAGGAAGTCAGTTTGACCTCATTTCCAACTGAGAGAGTCCATAGATGTCATTCAAGACTAATTTTCTGATTCTAAGGAAAAAGGGAAGTCTTTTTTTTTCTTCCTCTCTTTATTTTTGAATGAATAATGCTTGACATGGACAACACAGACTTTTAGTGAAGACAGAGAGTCCTAGTGATGAAACCACCTTTGCAAAAATTACAACTGAGAAAATTATGACAGTGAAAGAGATCTGACCTAACCAATTCCATCTTGCTTCTAAACTCTGTCCTTGTTCATTCCTGGGCATAGGCAGAACTAACTCTGGAAGGAACTTAGTTTATAGTGTAACTTTGAAACAAAGATGATAACAGCTCATTCTGAAAACAAACCCCTTTCTGGCCTGGGGACCAGACTGCCTTTTTAGGGCTAGCAAATTAGCCACAAGATTAGAAATTACAGTTTAGGAATAATGCAGCTAGAGGCCACAAGATTCTAAACCTCCCCAATTGTTCCTAAGGATAATATCACTATTGTAAAACCCAAGATTGGTGCTTAAGATGTTTTTCAGACCCCGCACTCATGGATCAGCTGGCATCACTCAGATGGATAAACTGGCTCATCTAGTCCTGTAGCCCCCACCCAAGAACTGACTCAGTGCAAGAGGACAGTTTCAACTCCCTATGATTTCATGTCACACCAGAGCCATCAATTCTCCCCGCTCCCTGGTCTCCTACTCCCCCAAATTATCCTTTAAAAATCCCAGTCTCTGAATTTTCAGGAGACTGCTTTAAGTAATAATAAAACTCTGGTCTCCTGTTTAGCCAGCTCTGTGTGAATTAAACTCTTTATTGCAATTCCTTTGTCTTGATGAATCCACTGTCTGGGCAGCGGGCAAGATGAACCCGTTGGGTGGTTACAATGACACCAGGAACCCCTGGGATCAAGACTTGCTCGAAGCCAGCCACACTTGAGACCTGTTAACCAAAAAAAAAAAAAAAAATCCTTTTCTTATTTAAGTCCAGTTTTCTTTTACTTGCATCATGAAGCAACCTAAATGATAACAGAAGTTTTATTGCCAAATATACCAGTTACAGTCTTAAGAAAGTCGCAAAGGAAAAACTCAGAGCAAAGATTTTCAGTCTTCATAAGTTCAAAATGTATACTTTTATCATGTCTGAGAAAAGAAAGCAATCAATATATTCACATCTTTTTCTGGGTATATGTGATATTTTTCCATTGGATAATGAATAGTAAACACTTTTACAATAGCAAGTTGACAAAATGAGAATGTATAAAAGAAATTAAAATATATCAACTATTAAATAAATGCCAGGCATTATGCAACAAACCTTATATGCATTATTTCAAATAATTATTATAACTACTCTGAATAGACACATTATTTCCATTTTACAGATGAGAAAAATGAGGTTCAAAGAAGTGATGTCATGTTCTCTGATTCTGTCTATATTGGATACCTGGTGACGATCTCCCCCTGTCTAATACCCTAAACATACGTTCACCTGCATGCTGCTTCTGTTCTGGACCTTTGCGCTGGATGTAGTCCCAACAGAGTGGCTTGCTGGGAGGAGGGAGATACTTTTCAGATAAGGCACTAGCACTTCATCCTAACAACTTCTCCATACTGAGGCAACATTTTTAAATACACAGAGAATGCCTAGGATTCAATTGTTGAGAAAAATTGATGTAAGTCTGTTTGTCTCAAAGAAAGCTATCAGGAACTACAGTTTTATTAACCTAAATGAACACCTGGTTTGATGATGACTATGTAAATGTATTTTTAGCTAATTAATTTATTATTTCTGCCCATCAGCCAACGAGTGGATAAAGAAAATGTGATATATATGCACTATGGAATACTAAGCCATAAGAAGGAATGAAATAATGGCATTTGCAGCAACCTAGATGGAGTTGGAGACCATTATTCTAAGTGAAGTAACTCAAGAATGGAAAACCAAATATTGTATGTTCTCACTCGTAAGTGGGAGCTAAGCTGCGAAGATGCAAAGGCATAAGAATGATATAGTGGACTTTGAGGACTCAAGGGTTGAAGGATGAGACTACACATTGGGTACAGTGTGCACTGCTTGGGTGATGAGTGCACCAAAATCTCAGAACTCACCACTGAAGAACTTCCCCATGTAACCAAAAACCACCTGTTCCACAGAAACTATCGAAATAACATTTTTAAAACTTTACTATTTCTGAATAAAATTTACATACATTTCTCAGAAAAAAAAATATTTGGAATTGAGGTATCTAATAGAGAACTGAGTTAAATTATTGCCACTTAAAAACACAAAGTGATATAGCCACTTTATGAATTAATCAGTCAGCAGTGGCTAGGTTATGCTTAGTGGTTTATAACCAAATCTTAGTTTATAACAACAAATGTGTATTGTTAATTCCCACTACAAGTTTATAACGACATTGCTGGATGCTACACTCCATGTCTCTTTGTGGGACCCAGGCTCATGGGACTTCTGTTACCTGCATTAGAGAGAGAGAAGACAACAAAATATGCACTGGTTCTTGAAGCTTTGGCCCAGAAGTAAAATATGTCTTTTACCTGTTCACATTGCATTGGGCCAGGGCAATTATCATGGCTGCAAGTAACTTCAAAAGGATGGGGAAGTGCGATCTTGGCATGTGTCAGAAGAAATGAAAACATTTGGTGAAGAGCATTAATGACTGTCTTTACAGGAAAAAAGCAATCAAATAGACATGATTGCTTGTTTCAGTTTCATCATTTCCTACTGTGTTACCTAAACTTTCTGAGCCCCAGTTTCTTATTACTAAAATAAAATAAAGATGATATTCACTTCAAGGACTTTGTGTTAACTAGGGTAAAAAAATTGAAAACTAGTAAGTTATGCAAATTAGAAATGTATAATATTACTGCTTTGAAAGTGATGGTGAAATGTAGAATAATTGGAAGGATAACACAAAGCACTTATACCAGGAGGCTTTTAGCTGCAGATAATAGAAATGAACCTCCACTACTTTAATCAATAAAAAAGTGTATCAGCTCACAAATTTGTCATCCAGACATAAAGGAGGCTTCAGAATTTATTGACTCAGGAGTTGAATGTTGGTATCAAGGACCTAGATTTTTCTCATCACTCTGCACTTCAATTCTCAATGCCCTATTGAACATCAGGCTGTAGTAAGATGGCTAGAGTGATTCCAGGGATAACATCTAGAGATAAAAAAGAGAACTCCTTTTCTTATGATTTTTTTCTTAAGAGAAAAGGAATTTCCCAAAAGCCCCCAGCAAGCATGCCTTCACATCCCATGGCCAGAAGTGGCTCACATGTGTACCCTGAGCTAAGCACTGCAGACAGGAATGGAATCGCCTGTAGGCCTCAGAGACCACCTGGATCTTGGGAAGGTGTCAGCTCTACCTGTGGCACTTGGCTGAGTGGGAAAGGGATGGAAACATGAATAAAGTAAGAATTAGGAAGGAAAAGGAGAAATGGATCCAGGGTATGAAGCCAATAGTTTAGTTATCTCAACAAATATGATTGATTTCATCTTTATGAATGTGATGACCTAATTTAATACATTCAATCAATGAAGTAAAAAAAAGTGCAAGGACAATATGACATCTGTCATTCTCTGTTGAGATTTGAGAGGTAATAATACCAAGAACGTGTGGTGACCTGGGTCCTCACTGCTACTGTCTTCCTGTACCTGGACACTTCTAGCAAGAGACTTCAACTTCAGAACAAAGAGGATCCCAACTTGTAGCTGCATTATACACACCCCAGCAGCACACATAAGTTGATTTCTAATTATTCCTCTTTAAGAAATTGTTTGTGGAATATTTATCTATTTATAAATGGAAAAATAGAAAATTAAAATAACAAAAATAAGTAACACCATGTATTGAGTGTCTACTGCGTGCTAGGCACTGTGCTAAGTGTTCTGCATATATTGTCATTGTGCTGCCAACGACTCTGCAATAAAGATGTTCCCATTCCTACTTTACAGCTAAGGAAACCAAGGATCTGAGAAATAACGTATTTTGCCCAAGATTATCCAACTGGTAAAATCTGGAGTCCAAATTTGAACCAGAGTCCATTCAACACACTTTCACCTCTACACCAGTGCTTTCTGAGTTTGCTGAACATTAGAATCACCTCAGGAACTTAAAAAAAATTCCCAGGTGATACCCCATAGCAAGTAAATTAGAAAATCGGGCAGGGGAAGAGGAACCCTGGCATCAGTACTTTTTAAAGTCCCCAGGTACTTACAATGTGGAGGAAAGTTTGGGAACCACTGTGCTATATTATGTTGCCTCTTCAGCCAAGAATGTAAACCAGAATCTTTTCTTCCAAGGCCAAGAGCAGTGAATGATAGCTTATGGTATATACTCTCATTCCCAAGTGATCCTCTTCCTCAGGAGTTCTGCTTTAGGCTAACTAATTTCAAGTTTCCCTTTCACTACATTTCTCACCCATCTGAAGCTAAAAATGTTACAGGAGACATGCTGAATTTGTTGCTTTTTCTCTGTTATCTCTCCTTTTCAGAGCCGCCTCCCCTTACTTTACTTCACCTGCTAAAGTATCCCTGAACTCTGCCTTCTGGGGTTGAAAGTGGGATTTTAAATAAACTATAGATGGCTTCCTTTATTTGGTTATAATTATTTAAAATTTGAAGGAAGCATTGGTCATTTTTGGTGACTAGTCATTTTTGATGACTAAGTGTCATTTAAAGTTTCATTTCCTTTAAATTAACATTTTTTGTCATTCCATTCAAATGCCTACTTACAATGGCAATAAGAATATGCTATGAACACTTAACCACCCACACTAGAATTTTAAATCTAAGTTCTTCTCGAATGCTGTTTTGGTGAATTTCAGTGTGGGAGGTGAGATGATTTAAAGCTTCAGATTTTCTGTTATAGTCAAAGGCATAATTTATCTGACATCTTTTTTCATTCTGCCTAAGGAATTACACTAGAATAATGTTTTTAAATAAAATTTGTCCACATAATGACATTTTTTTCAATTCTATCCAAACTAAAATAGCTCCAAAGCGTTTACTTATCATAACTGTTAAGAAATTATACTTGCCAGGCATGGTAGCTCAAGCCTGTAATTCCAGCACTTTGGGAGGCTGAGATGGGTGACCTCCACTTGAGGTCAGGAGTTCGAAACCAGCCTGGCCAACATGGTAAAACCCCATCTCTACTAAAAATACAAAAAAATTAGCTGGGTGTGGTGGCAGGCGCCTGTAATCCCAGCTACTTGGGAGGCTGAGCCAGGAGAATTGCTTGAACCTGGGAGGCGGAGGCTGAAGTGAACCGAGATCACGCCATTGCACTCCAGCCTGGGCAACAAGAGTGAAATTCCATCTCAAAAAAAAAAAAAGAAAGAAAGAAAGAAAAAGAAAAGAAATTATTACACCTGCCATCACTTCTCTTCTACATCATGCTAGGAATTAAAAAGAATGCATCATTTTGTTGCTTCAGAAAATCTCCTGCATTCTTGTCTTTGTATTTTATCAATTGATTAGGGCTTTGGGGAGCTGAGCAAAGTATAGAACATATCCAACCCAACCTCTGCCTTACAAGAACTTACTTCCTAAAGAAGAAAGCTTTCTCAACATGGTAAAGAGGAAGATAAGTGCTCTGCAATACAGAATGTAGATGTTACATAGTTGGTCAGTGGAAGAGCAGAAGGAATATGTGCTAATGTTAGGACTTGGTTTAAGTTTTTCTTCGTTATGAAAGGCAGTAGTATTACAGATCGTTAACATAGTTATGCTAGGTCTAACCATCGTACATTAAGATAGAAACAAGTGTTTTGTATAATCAAGATCTCAAATCATGATTTAATTTTTTAGCCATTACATGTACAATTAATATTCAAACTTGATCTGAAAAATAACATTAAAAATAACAGATAACACTGAATTCATTTAAAAGTAGACATTTAAAATAGTATAGTACACTTTTTTTTTTTTTAAGAGACAGGATCTCCCCATGTTGCCCAGGCTGGTCTCAAAACTCCTGGGATCCTCCTGCCTCTGCCTCCCGAAGTGCTAGGATTACAGGCAGGATCCACCACGCCTGGCCCTTAAAATAGTATAGTATACTATCTACTAAACTAGATTGTGTTTAAAAGTCACTTGGCCCTATCATGAAACAGTTTGGGGATTTGTTTTTAAGTGAAAACAACTATCCGTAGAAGTGAGAAGTCAGATAAAATAGCATTTGTTTTCTTTTGTGAGCTTTCTCCTTCCTCTGCTTCTTCTAAGAACTTTGTTGAGCATGTCTAAATGGTCAGATGCTGGGCTTCGTGCTCTCCTCAGCTTAGCTTCTCATCACCTGCAGGAATGGCAGAGCAGTGTCATCTCACTCTGTCTTCTGATTGCTCAAGAGGAATCGTGTGTGTGTGTGTGAAAGTGAAATCTTCCAGTTTTGCAATGTCAGCTTCCCATTCAAAAGTGCTTAGGACACCGTGAAAGCCACATCAGCGGGGGTGAGGGAGCCAGTGCAGGGCTCCCGGGCTTCCAGTTTGTGGCCTCTGAATGAAGGTGTGGCCCCTGGTAAGATACAAGCACTGCTGGGAAGCCTAACACATCGAACAGTTATTAGCCATTGACACCTCTGCATGGCTTGTTTTCTGTGCTTCTCCCCAGTACTAGCTGCTCCCAAGAAGGTTTCAAACTAGGAACAAGGTGAAGTGGAGAGTATAAAGATGAGAGAAGTCCAGGAAGGGTATAGCACACCTGGTAGGGAAGACCCCCAAAATCGCTGCTGCAAAGTCAAGAGGAAGATTTTAGCAATCATACTGATTATCTAATGTGTGTAGCAACACCCCACTGGATGCCTGAAGTACAGAGATTAGTAGGATATGGTCGCTAATATTATACAGCGTGAAGTTTAATAGGAGGGAGAGAGATGCACAGAAATCATGAGTGTGCATTGCAGCATGAGAATGGATGATACAAATGTTGAAATCATTCATTTCAGCACTTAAATGTTTCCTAATGACATACAGTATGCCTGGAACCTTCAAGACATCAGGATAGACAAAACAGACAATCTCTGCCTGTAAAGATGTTACAGTCTAGCAGGAGAGCTGGCAGTTTTCAAATTGTAGAAATACAATCATGCATCACTTAACAGGGATACTGAGAAATGCGTGTCTGGACATCTTCAGCCACCCTAGAGTGTACCCACACAAGCCTAGATGGCATAGCCTACTACACGCCTAGGCAGCATGGTGTGGCCTATTGTTCCTAGGCTATAAACCTGTGCAGTGTGTTACTGTACTGAATACTGTAGGCAGTTGCAACACAGTAGTAAGTATCTATGTAGGTAAACATAGAAAAAGGTACAGTAATAATATGGTATTGTAATCTTATGGGACCACTGTCATATATGTTTGTTGTTGGCCAAATTGTCAGTATGTGGTACTTGACTAAGTATTTAATGGCAATGATAATAAATGCGACAAAGGAACTATGGAGACTATGGTAGCATAATAGGGACACCTCACTTACTCATGAGGAATAAGAAAAAGCTTCCCTGAAAAATTACGACTAAGCTGAGATTTGAAGAATAATGTGGAGGGTGGGTGGGAGGGGTATTAGTGACACCAAGGGGGTTGTAAGGGTGTTGCTGGAGGAGGGAGAGACTCTGAGAAGGCTCTGAGGCAGGGAAGCTCTTGGATGTTTGCGAAACTGGGAGGATTTGAAGGATGGGGTTGTCAGGGTGTATCTAGTGAGGGCAGAGCAAGCCAGAAGAGTAAGCAGAGAGCAGGTTGAGCAGGACTTGTAGACCTTCTTGGGATGTCTGACTTCATCCTCAGACCATGTCGCCAGTTGAGAGCTTTAAGCAGGGTGAGAGGGACAAGCCAGTTGCCGCATGGCATGTACAGTGAGAGGGGCTGTCGTGTAAGCAGTGGCTGGTTAGGGGCCTCTGCAATAACCCAGCAAAACTGAAGAGTGTTGGCTTATGAGCTATGCGAGGTGACAGTGGAACTAGAAGGAAGTGGTGGCTTTTGAGAAACGGGCTGGACTGGCCCTGATATTGAATTGCATTGGAAAGAGAGGGAAGTGTGGAAGACGATGCAGGGCTCTGCTATCAACTAGCCGATGGTCCACTTACCAAGGTAGGGAGCACCAGAGGGGTAACAGTCTCGAGGAATGGATGGAAGTTTTCATACTAGGTGAGTAGAGTTTCAGATGTGAAATGGGCAGGAAGATGGGTGGGCCTGATTCTCGGAAGAGGGGGCTGGGTTGGGAGTCATGGGCATCTGGCGAGTACAAAGGCCACGGAGTTCCCAGCATGAGTGTGAACAGTGAGAAGTGTCCGGGAGCAAGCCCTCGGGGGAGCCCTCGCTCACTCCCTTCTCCCAGCAGCAAGTGCAAAGGAACAGTGTCACTGACCAGGGCTCTCGCACTGTCTGGCACACAATCACCGAAGTTTCCAAGCCAGTACATTTTATTTTTATGAATACAACATAAAGCCAGAAACATTCCCAGCCTCATTGTTTTCCAGAAAAGCATCTACCAAACTCAAATGATATTCCTAACCCCTAAACTTATCACAATAGTTACGCTTTAATGCGCTACGTCTACTAACAAAGCCAGATACATTGCCCTCCTCCAATACAACAAAGTCCCCCTGATGGGCATGCCACAATGTACGCCCAACTTTACTGGGTGATCATTTTTGTCCAAGTGCATATATTTCATCATTAAAATGTTAAAAAACAAATATTTAAATTTCTCCCTTTTTTGCCTCCATATGGCTGGTTAATATATCTGAATAACAACTGAGTAGCTTTCTTTTATCCCTTTGAGTACAAGGAGCTTGGAAGATACTCCTTTCTGACTCCCACGTCAGGGTAGGGTCTGGATCACCACAGGGCTTAGAATTGGGTGGAAAAACAGGAGGGAAGAGCTGGGGAGACCAGTCGTGACCCTGGGTGACAGAAAAACATGGACTCTGAACTCTGGCAATCCAGGGTTGGAATATCCTAGATTCTACAACTTCCATAACTATTCATTCTCCTCCCCTTCTCTCCTGGCAGCAACGTAATAATTGAGACACTGCTGGTCTCAGATTCAGCAGGAATGAAGATCAGCGAATACATATTGTTGGGTAACTTCTTAAATCTGATGGTACATTAGCCAGAAATGCTTACAGTGTATTTTATAATAAACTTATGTTAATGGACTAACATGAAGACTCTAAATCTCTCTTACTGTTAGTCCTTATCTACAGTGCCAAATGCATCAGGTAGGTTCAACAAAATCGAGAAACACCACGAAACTCTGCATAATTAGATGAGCGCAAACTACACTTAATAGCACAAAATATCAAACACCTGCTGCTGTTCTTTAACGATGACTTGATATTCTATAGAATTGGAGATGTGATGGCTTGAAGCCTCCTGCTTCCAAAGAAAACACTAACTGGAATCCTTCACAAATGCCCACAACTAGGTTGAGCTCTCAGTTGGGTCCACTTCTATGACTAGAGTCAAGGTGAACTGAATCACTGCCTGCCTGCTCCAGTCCTTTTAAAGGTGGTACAGCACGTTTTTAAACTGACACTGACATCTCAAGAACCAACAGAGTGATGGAAAAAAGTTGAACGCAAATGTGTTCTGCTTTTTTTTTTTTTTTTTTTTTTTTTGGAGACGGAGTCTCACTCTGTCGCCCAGGCTGGAGTGCAGTGGCATGATCCCAGTTCACTGCAACTTCCGCCTCCTGGGTTCAAGCGATTCTCCTGCCTCAGCCTCCCGAGTAGCTGGGACTACAGGCATGCACCACCATGCCCAGTTAATTTTGTATATTCAGTAGAGACAGGGTTTCACCATGTTAGCCAGGCTGATCTCGAACTCCCGACCTCAGGTGATCCGCCCACCTCGGCCTCCGAAAGTGCTGGGATTATGGGCATGAGCCACCGCGCCTGGCCCTCTGCTTTGTTTTTATTTGGAGTCATAATAGAAAAAAATTTTAATAAGCCCCTAAATGATTCTCCATTAATGTGATTTAAATAATAAATTCATAAAGATTGATTTTGTTTATATACACTCAACTGTAGAAAAATGACTGTCTTTTTTTGTTGTTTACACCGTCAAATCCAATCAAGCCAAACATGATGGTTAACTAAAATGATTAATGAATGCAGCATTAGCTGATGGCTTTAAATTTAGCGTGTGTTACTGATGTCAGGGTTGATTAGTTCTCTATCTAAAACTGATGCTATTAAAAGCTTTGAGCAATTTAGATGTTGTCATTGAGTAAAACTTCAATGGGGTGAGAGAAATTCTATCAGGATAAATTCTGCTCTGGTGCAACCTGTGCACAGATGTTGGATAGAGAGAGAGTGGGCCTTTTCTGATGGGACAGGAAGAAGGAACGGGAGGCAGAGAAGCTGACAAGGTGGCATCGATCTCAGGAAAGGTAAAGAAGCTTGGAATAAAAAAAAAAATACTCATCTTTGCACAAGGACTCCCAAATGGCATATGGGTATGAATATTGATCATTTCAGCTTCGGAACTTTTCAAGAAGTGGGAAAAAATAAATGAAGGGGAGGCAAGAGGTTAATATAGTACCATGCCTTAGTAACTCCTCTGAAAATGAATCCATGGGGAAATCATTGTAGTCAGTGGTGGAGACCAACATTTTTATTAATAAGATAAAAGGAAAGAGTGGTAAAGCAAAGGCGATCATTGGATGGAATGATTATGTGTCACGAGCACTTGAGGACCTAGAAAGCAAACTGGAGTGATTATGCCAATCAAATTGCAAGGTTGGAGATATGCTAAAAGGTTTGAAGGAATCCAATCCTGGGGCTATTGCACAGGACTTGGGGAAATCAAGTTGCTGCAAGCAGCTATGACTTGAGGAAGGTGTGCAGTGGGGGACCTTAAACCATTTCCAACATCTGTGCCTTTGAAATATTTTATTACTGATCCAGATATCCCAAGACATTTTAAATGGAAGGGAAAATGTACTATACTAGACCCAAATTCTCTGGATATTTACATTCCATCCCTGTCTAGGGATGTGGGGGAGGTGAATCTGTCAGTGGATCAGATCAGACTAGAAGGTTCTTGTGATTAATGGAGCTGGGCCATCTCTAAGAAAAAGGCAGCAAATAATTTGGTTCCCTCTATGTAGTTCCACCTAAGAAGAGGAAAAACAAAGAGAAATTTTGTTACAATTTCCATTCAAATGAAGGAGGAAAAATATTCTGTCATTTAGACAGGAAGATTTGATGTTATAAATTCCATTTAAATTATTTAACATACTTCTGAGATCCCAGTATGAAAAGCACTTAGTAAGTTCCATGTGAAAATTGCATTATTATTATTAAGAAGATGAGAATCAGTCCTAGACTCAAATCCAAAAGTGAATTTTCCTTGATTTCTTATCACTGATATGGATATCAGGGTCAAACAATTTCTTGTTTCTCAGTAGTCTGGGATGCTTAGGAGATCTTGTAGTATCTGCCAGTAGCGCATAAAGCAAACATTCCTAATAGCCTTTTTTGTTATGCACTAAATATTTGTGTTTCCTCAAAGTCCTGTGTTGAACCCCTAACCCCCCAGTGTGTCTGTATTTGGAGACAGGGCCTGGAGGAGATAATAAAGGTTAAATGAGGTTAAAATGGGGGTCCTAATCCAATGGGTCTGGTGCTCTTATAAAAAGAGAGACACCAGAACCACCTAACCCCACCATCGCAGGGACGGCCAGGAAGACAGCCCATACCCACCAGGAACCAAATGGCCTGGCACCTGATCTAGGGCATCCAGGCTCCAGAACTGTGAGGAATGAATGTCTGTTCTTTAAGCTCCCAGTCTGGACGATTTTCCATTCTCACATAAATTGAACAGGAGCTCACCCACGTGTAGACCCGGGTGTGTGCAGTAAAGGAAGAAGAGAGAGGCACATTGCACAGGCATCAGCTGACCTGTTGATTTTCTCATTCTGCGAATGTTCTCCATCATCAACAGCTCCCAGCGGAATTAGCACCACGCTCTTGTGGACGATCTCCTGGAACATTTTGGCAATTGGAATGGTGGATCCATCCCGGATCATATCTGGTTCTGTTCCAAACACTGAGACAGGAAAAGAAGGCATTTGAATAGGGTAAGGACAAGAACACCCCCAGGAAGCTCCTCAAGGTCAGTGCCTCCTTTACCTTCCTCTCTCTTTTTCCTTGTTAATCTTTCTTTTTTTACCATTAGATTTGGTGCTTTGGGGTAAGGAAGCCCCTTGATATCATGCAATTATATTCTAAGATAGACACTAGAGTCAAGAAGAAAACTATGGATGTCTTCTTCACAATTACCTACTTTAAAAAAGATTTTAGAGCCAGGTGCAGTGGCTCATGCCTGTAATCCCAGCACTTTGGGAGGCTGAGGTGTGCGGATCACTTGAGGTCAGGAGTTTGAGACCAGCCTGGCCAACATGGTGAAACCCCGTCTCTACTAAAAATACAAAAATTAGCTGGGCATGGTGGTATATGCCTGTAATCCCAGCTACTCAGGAGGCTGAGGCAGGAGAATCGCTTGAACGTGGGTGATGGAGGTTGCGGTGAGCCGAGATCTTGCAACTGCACTCAGGCCCGGGTGACAGAGCGAGACTCTGTCTCTAAATAAATAAATAAATACAATTGTAAATAAAAATTTTATTTTGAACTAATTTTAGAAAAGTGTAGAATTTAGAAAAGTTGCAAAAATAGTAGAGAGAGAGCTCCCATCTATCTCTTACTCTGCTTTCCCTGATATGAACGTCTTATGTAACTATTGCAAAATGATCAAAACAAGGAAACTGACAACGGTGCAATGTTGTTAACTACACTCCAGACTTTCAATTTCACCGGTCTTTCCCTTTTTCCCTTCCAGGATCTGATCCAGAATCCACACTGCATTTTTATTATTGCTTCTTAGTTTCTTGTATGCTGCAGACGTTTCTCAGTATTTCCTTGTCTTTCATGACCTTGACCATCTTGAAGCTTATCAGTCGGTAGTTTTGTAAAATATCCCTCACTCTGGGTTTGTCTGATGTTATCTTGTGATTGCAAGAGGTCATGCATTTTTGGCACGACACAAGACAATGTCCCTATATTGTTTCTTCATGAATTAAATATTATGGAAGTGGGACTTCTTTGGGTTTTTTGGTGACAGATATGCCAATAGCTGTACTATCGCTCAAATGTCACAGTGTTTCTAGCAATTTTCAAAGTATTGCACAAAATAGTTTTAACTGCTATCGTAGGTTTTAGAAAGAGATGAGTTCAAACCTTCTAGCTTACCGGACATGCTGCCAGTGATGGAGTGGGATGAAAAATGAAACAAAGAAACCAGAGAGAACATGCCACCTCTTCTTTATTCACAAAGAAAGATGTGGACGTGAATCGAAGTGATGTGCCTCGTTCGCAGAACCAGTTTAGCACACAAATAGACCGAAAGGTGTCTTATGCATTCCTGAAAGGCTATTTCAGACCTATTTATTGTTGTCAACCTGGGTATTTCAAACACACACCTCTCTTCAGCTGCCATTACATTTCTTCAATCCTAAAGTTTACTGGCGAAATACCTGCTAAGGTTGGGGGCAGCAGGAATGGTGATGGAAAGAAGCATGGCTCCCTGTCTTGGACTTGATCTGTAGTTTTCCGTGTCTGTGTCCCTTGTACTGATAACCCTGAGAGAGAGTTAGTGCTTCAAAGAGATCTGGGCTTCCCTTTCTGGCTTTGCCACCATTAGCCAATGTGGCCTCAGGCCTCATCTGTAATAGGATGCCATAGGTCTACCTAAATGCATGCCACTGCTTTTCCACCTAGCTTTGGGAGAGACCTAGAACCCCCTGCTTTGGGAAGAGCCCCCATTCTGCTATTGTTGGCAGGGTCCCCCTCCTGGTGCAGAAGCCAAAAAGACTGGGTGTCCCTGCTCCCTGACGCCACAGCCAGCACCCAAGTACACGCCCTCTGCTCAGCCCAGCACATGGCTCTACCCAGGACCTTGAAGTGCATGGAATTAAAACAGGCACCACCAAAGAAGTTCCAAATAGAGCTGTGCTGCCTTCTGGGGAAGCAATGTGGCATTGTGAAGAGACCACTGGCTTGAGGGTCAGAAACACCAGAACTGGGTTTCTCATGTGTTTTGCAATTGTGTACAGTGAGCTCATCTCCAGGAAGCTCCTGTGGAATCTCCTTGGCCTGCCTGGGGGCTGTGTCCTCCTGGGCAATGCTGTGCTTGCATCAGCAGGCAGTCCAGCCATGGCACTAGTGAGAACCAGACCACACACTAGGTAAAATTAAACACCCAAACCCACAGGAGCAAGGGTCCATGGTTAAAAATTCTCAGGGGAGACCTTGTGTCCGTCCAACGTCCAAGCAAAGGCAGTCAAGCTTACACACACACACACACACACACACACACACACACACACACACACAGGATAGGTGTGGCTCTCCGGGGATGCCCTGCCTGTATATAATGGGTCTCATTTTCAACTTCCTGCCTCACTCTGGCCCAAGGCCATTAAAGCCCCAGTCTCTTTGTGACCAGGAAGAGCAGATCCCTGCCGGCCAGCCCAGGGTCTGCTTATTTACTCCCCTAGAATTTAGCTTCTCCTTCATTTTCAACCCTGAAGGATTTCCTCTGATGTCATACAAGCTAAGCTGTATTTTTTGTTTTTCATTTTTTGAGACAGGGTCTCACTCTGTCCCCCAGGCTGGAGGGCAGTGGCATGATCATAGCTTGCTGCAGCCTCAACCTCCTGGGCTCAAGCCATGCTTCTGCCTCAGCCTCCTGAGTAGCTGGCACTACAGGCATGTGCCACCACGCCCAGCTAATTTTTATATTTTTTATAGAGATGGGGGTCTCACCATATTGCCCAGGCTGGTCTTGAACTCCTGAGCTCACGCGATCCTCCTGCCTCTGCCTCCCAAACTGCTGGGATTATAAGCTTGAGCCATCACACCTGGGCTAATCTGTGTTTTGAAAGGATGTTTTTACATGTTGGCCAACATTTCTATGAGTTTGTATTCAGGGGGAGGGGGTTGAAGATTTTCTAGTCCATCATTTTCTTCAAAATTCAGGTCTCCAGACTTAAATTTGAACACAGGCTTTGCCCCTTGTGAGCTGGGCACCCTTTGGCAAAATACTTCATGTCTGTAAGCCTGCATTTATTCCTCTGTTAGATGGGGAAGGCCATTGGGAGGATGACTTGAGATGGCGTGTATAGCGTGCCCTGCACATGGCATGCATTCAACAATGTGCTCTGTATTAAAAGGAGAGTTGATTTCTGAGTTTTAAAAGTGTCTGCTTTACCCACGGTCCCACGGGTACCACCCCTGAGTCCCAGTGCAGATTGGCCAGTCAGAAGATCTTAAGGTCCCACCTGTTCTGATCGCTCTTTTTGCTGCGAGATACTGGGTGTCATCAATATTTGCAATCCACGGGTGTAGTCCTAGAGTCATGGAAACAACCATCTTGTTGGAACTATTTCTTTTGGAGAACACATCTTCAAGATGTCGTGTCACCTAAAAGGTGACATTTTCAATGATAAGAGAAAGTGTCAAGTTATTCTCTCATACAGTTAATATAGTCTTCCATCAAGAAACTGATTAGTACAGTTAATATAGCCTCTTCCATCAAGAAACTGAAGCCCCAGCCTGACACACGCAAGTGTTGTGATTTTCCCTTCACTCTGCCAGAGGGCGAGAGTGAGATCCTTCTTCAGTGCTGACAGCAGGAAACCCTGAGCTGTACCCAGAGGGAGATTCCCCTCTATCCTCTACCCTGCATTCCTGGCCCCGGCCCACCCCCTTCCAACCACAGCATCTCACACACACAGAGGTGCTGGAGCATCACTTGTTGAAAGTGATGAAGCCTAACACAGCAGGACTTCTCTTTTGAATCGTCCTCTTTTTGGACTCCTCAGTACCCTGTGAATGATTTGGAAGCATTAAGTATTTGGGAAATTTCCAAGACGTGGGAGCAACTCCAGGCTCAACTATGGAGAGCCTCATTTCAGCCTCGTTCTCTCCCCTCCTGCTCTTTTTTCATTGTTACTGTTGAGAGTCTCCCGGGGAGGTGCCATATTCAAATTTCTTCCATTAATTACTTCAACACACATTTATAGAACACGTGTCATGTCCCAGAGACTGTTCTAGGTGCTGCGGATACAGCTGTGAACAAGACAAGGAAGGCCCTGCCCTCATGGAGTTTATATGTTGTGAGAAAAGGGGGTAGCACCTCCAAAAAGAAAGAAGGGAAGGGAGGAAGGAGAGAAAGATAAAAGGAAAGGGAAGGGAGGGGGAGGGGAGGGGGAGGGGATGGAGAGGGGAGGGGAAGGGAGTGGGGAGAGGAGAAGGAAGGATGGAAGGAGGGCGGGAGGAAGGAACAGGAGGGAAGAAAAAGGAAAGGAGAGGGGAGGTGAGGGAAGGGAAGGGAAGGGAAGGGAAGGCAAGGGAAGGGAAGGAAAGGGAGAAGGGAGAAGGGAGAGAGGGAGGAGAGAGGGCAGGAGAGAGGCAGGGAAGGAAGGAAGGAAGGAGGGAGGGAAGAGAGGAGGGGAGGAAGCCGGGAGGGAGAAAGAGAGACTACTTTAGAATGTAATTAGTGCTAACAAGACAATAAAGGGGGATAATGGGATGGAGAGAGAATGACTGTTGGGATGAAATATTTCTTTAGCTCATTCATTCAAGAGTCTACTTTCTGTTAAACTAACTTGAGGCAAATTGATGATTGGTTGGTAATTTGGACACATAACTCCTTCTAGAAAATATTTTCCTTAAAATGACTGCTTCCAAAGTGTTAATTTCAGACATCATGAAGATCTAATGATTGAGGCCTGAGACTTTCTGCTTCTGTCCAAGCATAGGCAGGTCCCTACTCCATCTATGTGTAAACCAATCTTGCTTTTATATCTACCATCTAACTTTCAAATTTTCCTAGCACACTAGTTTCAAATGGTTATTTATCTGACTGCTGTAATTGCATATACTTGAGGGAAAAGACTGGATTCTTTTTGTTTGTTTTTTTAAGAGACAGTGTCTTGCTCTGTCACCCAGGCTGGAGTGCAGTGGTGCTATCATAGCTCACTGCAGCCTTAAACCCCTGGGCTTAAGGGATCCTCTAGCCTTGGTCTCTCAAAGTGCCGGGATTACAGGCACAAGTCACTGCACTGGGCAATATTGGTTTCTTGACATTTGTTCCACTCCTCTTGTGTTGGAAAAAAATGATACTCCAATGGTAGCAACCTCACTGCTCACTAAGCCGTGATGTGCGGGATTCAGAAACCATGTTACTGAAACATGTTATTGTCACAATAAGCATTTGTTACCTGTTTTTCCACCGCAGACACATTCATGTGAGGGACTAGACGGATTGAAAATTTTCCTATAACTCGGCCAGGTATGACTGTTTTAGTTCCAGGCTCATCAAACGCGCCCTCGATCCCATGAATAGAAAGAGATGGGTACCTCCAGAGGTGCATTAGAATCTCCTCCTATATTAAAATAAAATTATCCAAAGGATGCTTAATTAGAACCCAGTGGACCTGGGTTGCTTGTGTTACCACCCTCTGCCTCTCTGAGACACCATTCAGGACACGTTAACTGTCACCTTACTCAGCTGTGCCTCACGCAAGGACTTTTTCCTCAGGACACAAACTCTCTGCTGTCCTCAGATGCCTTCACTACCCATCACTACCAATGCTCCCCATTGATGAGTGCCCCTCTTTGCCCAAGATCTGCAGTTTTCAGTTAACAAATGGCAAAGGGGCCCTTTCAAACGAGATCGGGCACGTTCAGTGTGGTATGGCCATAGATAAAGGAGCCCTTTCAGAAACGTGGGTTCAATTATAAATTTCTAACCCCAAATTACAATAATAACTTATGTAATGAAAGCATTTTCTTATTCAGAAGACATCAAATAACTCTTCAGATGTTTAAGCCAGTTTTCTTTCTTCTGGCCATCCTGGAGCTGGTCTGCAAGAAGATGCCTGCTTCATAATAATTCACTCTACCGCTTCTTTTCAGCTTGCTTTTCCCCCTCTCGGCCCCTTCCCCAGGAACCAGCCCTAGCTACCAAACACCTTGTCAGGCAAGCATGCTGCCCAGAAAGAGGAAGAAGAGAAAAGCAAAACAATTCGAAATTTGCCTGTAAGGAATGTTTTCAGCTTTGTGTTTACTTAGTCCACTGAGACAATGATGTATTCACTTACAGATTAGCCCCTAAG
Source organism: Homo sapiens (assembly GCF_000001405.40). NCBI lineage: Eukaryota > Metazoa > Chordata > Mammalia > Primates > Hominidae > Homo > Homo sapiens. The sequence goes on along the minus strand of NC_000018.10, from coordinate 74,577,430 downwards.
GCTCTTGGTTTTGTCTGGAAAAATGAACAGTTAGAGGTCTTGGAGCTGGAATCATCTCAGACTTTTCTTGGTCTTTGAAAAGGTAAGAAGTCCAGCTCACTGGCTGAAGGCTGACGTGGGATTTAGGTTAATGAACAGCTTTGGAAAACATGGCTGGGAAATGGGTAACTGCTTGTGGTTAAGTGCCAGAAGCCAGTGCCAATTAGACGCCATTGAAAAAGGACTGGTTGATCCAGCCCACGGGGAAGTGGCTGTGAATGTCAAAAATATGCCTGGGAATTCACATCTGCTTTGGATTCTAAGATACGGAGATTAGCACCAGACAATGACTTAGACAGAGGGCAAATATGATATACTAGCCTCATGCCTCTTCCAGCTTATCCATCAGTCTGTGGCCATACCTTAGTATCGAACAGAAATTTCTCAACCCGGCTGCTATTCCGGTATTCTTCTAGGTCTAGATGGATGGCTTTGTATGTATTTATTTCCTCTTCTGTAAGAGGAACCACTTCATCATAGATTCCAGGGACCAGGATATGACCAGACGAGTCTACCAGGCTACCTACAAAACACACACAGAAAACAAAGCCAGGTAGAAAGGAGTGTGCCAATGTTGTGGTCCTGGAGCCAGACTGTGGGAGGACTCTTCAGGGTTGCAGCAGGCCTCTTGACTGTCTGGGTCCCCGTGGCCAAAGCCATTGGCAGCAACTCCATCCAAGAAGTGACTGTCAGAGAAAGGAGTTGGTCACCAGGATCACGCAGCTGGAGTCCGCCCTGCTTTAGTGTTCACCTTGTCAAAGGTGTGGCTGAAAACACCTGGGCCTGCAACAAATGAGGTCGGAGTGAGTTACCTGCATCATGTTCACGTTCTCAGCTATGCCTTTTATACATAAACAAGGTTTTTTAGTTTTGTCTTATCCTGATTTTAAAAGTAATATGTGTTCATTATAAAACATTTAAAATACATGCTGGGTGCGGTGGCTCACATCTGTACTCCCAGCACTTTGGGAGGTCAAAGCAAGTGGATCGCTTGAGCCCAGGAATTCCCAACCAGCCTGGGCAACGTGGCGAGACCCTGTCTCTACAAAAAATACAAAAATTAGCAGGGCATGGTGGCACATGCCTGTGGTCCCAGCTACTTGGGAAGCTGAGGTGGGAGGATCATTGATCCCAGGAAGTTGAGGCTGCAGTAAGTCATGATCACATCACTGCACTCCAGCCTGGGTGATAAAGTCAGACTCTGTCTCAAAAAAAAAATTATACGGCCAGGCGCGGTGGCTCATGCCTGAAATCCCAGCAGTTTGGGAGGCCGAGGCAGGTAGATCACAAGGTCAGAAGATTGAGACCTCCAGGCTAACATGATGAAACCCTGTTTCTACTAAAAATACAAAAAATTAGCAGGGCATGGTGGCACGTGCCTGTAGTCCCAGCTACTGGGGAGGCTGAGGCAGGAGAATCGCTTGAACCCAGGAGGCGGAGGTTGCAGTGAGCCCAGATCACGCCACTCTACTCCCACCTGGGCGACAAAGCGAGACTCCGTCTCAAAAAAAAAAAAAAAAAAAATGTATACACACACACACACACACACACACACACACATGTATACACACCTACATACATACATACCTGAGAAACCAAAAATTTTTGTCATCCCTTCTCAACTTCTCTTCCCCTTCACACACGCGCACACACGCACACACACACAGAGTATATTATAATAAAGACTCATTTTTAATTAAAAGCATTATACCCTTCAGGTCTACTCTATGAGATACCATCATGACCACAAAATCCCCTGTATACACTAGTGTGCTCTTCATGAAAGAGTTTGGAGATCAATACAAATGGAAAAAATCATCACTAAATATCCATAAGAGCAGCAGATGTTGAGATTTAGTAAATACCGCCCACTCTCTGTAGAAAATACGTATCAAAGGCAAAATGCAGCCAGGAAGTAGACTGATATAAATGACACAAAAATGTCTCCAGGGCAGCTTAATGAGTCCCCACTGATAATGCAGTCATGAGATCTCCTCTTGAGCATATGTCCCTAAACTTCTGCTGACAGTCTTCTGCGTAAGGACAGAGTTGCAGAGTGCGTGCCTTCTAAGCACGCACTGTACCTCACTAGTAAAACGATCCAGGCCTCTGTTCTCGGCATCATTTTAAATTACAACTTTATTCTCTCAGTATACAAAGCAGCCTTCCCTATTGCTGGACTGGGAGAAGGAAGAGAAAGAGGATTTCCTCATTTACCTTTTCCTTCCTTCCTTCCTTCTCTTTCTTTCTTCTTTCTTTTTTCTTTCCTTCCTTCCTTTCTTTCCTTCTTTTTTCTTTCCTTCCTTCCTTTCTTTCCTTCCTTCTTTCTTCTTTCCTTTCTCTCCTTCCTTCCCTCCATCCCTCCCTTCCTTTCCTTCCCCTCCTTTCCTTCCTTTCTTCCTTTTCTCTGTTTCTTTCTTTCCTTTTTTTGAGACAGAGCTTGCTCTGCCACCCAGGCTGGAGTGCAGTGGCACAATTGTGGCCACTGCACCTGGCCTTCCTTTCCCTTTTAATATGCTTGCAGAAAAATCTGATTAGAGAGCTGTGGAGTACGGCTCAGTCACTTTGGCCCTGCCTGAAACGCCATCACAGGGAAAGGGGAGCCATTGATGTCTGTGCTATTCAGAAATAATGCTGCTTCACAGATCCCATTTTCCATATTTCTTTGCCCTAGTTCTTTAATATTGAAAGCATTTGAATGAAAATAGTATGCTTAAGAGTTCGCCCCCTCCCCTCCTGTTCATTTTCCTCTTGTAATCATGACGTGATGTCATTTCTGCAGTTACCACAGCCTTCTTGGGAAGTGCGGGGAAGGCAGAAGGTGCCTTTGAAAACTGCCCACAGGAAACAGAATCCTGCATGCCTAGCAGCCATCTTGGATTTGAACATTTTAAATAACATCACATATTTGCTGCTTATAAAAATGCCCTTGGTACAATGGCCTTTTCTGTTTTATGGCTTTTAGGGAAATGCAAAGAATAGGAAAGTGTCTGCAAAGGGAAACTACAGAAGGTTAGAGCTCGATTTGTAAACACAAGTATCCTCTTAGCAGCTCCTGCCTCCCCTGCATACTAAGCCCCTTTTCAGACAGGGAACTAACTTGGTTTTGCTTTGTACCTTAGTGGAGGTTATCATGCATTTCACAGAGCTGGCGCTCACTAGCGTTTATTGTCTGTTCATGATCACAGCAGAGACAGAGAGGTGAGGAGGCTTGCACAAGGCAAGGGCTGCCCGTGGATTCCCACATCCTGACTAGTGTGTATGCCTGCTTGTCAGCCTGCAGGAGTGGACACAGCACAGCCGACTCTCACCTGACATCAGGGGTCCCTGGAAGTCCGGGCATCTCCACTACAGCCCAGCCTGTCGGCAAGCAAAATTCCTGCTTGTCATCTCATAAACACTAAAGCTCAACACTATGTCCTTATGTTTTTGTACAAAACATATGAAAACCACATAGAGGACACAATCCAGAAATTACTGTGCTGTGGATTATTTGATTTGTATCAAGAACTAAAGAAAGTCAAACCACGTTTTTGACTTCATTCATGAGCCCGAGCCGACTCTTCCTTAGCAGAGCAATGTGCCTTTGTGGGGCTGCACGGAATCCGATGCCTGGCTGAAGCCACGCAGCCGAAAAAGATGCCATGCAGCAATCATGCTTGTGGGAAGAGCAAAATGTGCTCCTAAAGATTTCAGATGCAGTTCATAGGGAAGGAAACATTCATTCTGGTAAAACAGAAAATTAACCTCCACTCCCCAAAATTGTGAGTTGCATACCATCTGATTCTTCTGGAAACCATTTAAACTCTTTAAGGGAAAATGGCTGGGTGTATTCCGTCTGAATTGTCAAGCATGGGAAATATCATCCAAGAGCTATATTTCAGGAAAACTAGAAGGCCATAGAAGAATAGATAGATTAGATAGATAGATAGATAGATACATAGATACATAGATAGATAGTTGGATGGATGGATAGATGATAATGGGTGGATAGATGGATGGATGAATGGATAGAAAGATGATAGATGGATAGATAATGAATGGATGGATGGATAGAAAAATGATACATGGATAGATAATAGATGGATGAATGGATAGATGGATGGATGGATAGAAAGATGATAGATGGATAGATAATGGATGGATAGACAGATAGTTGGATGGATGGATGGATAGATGATAGGTAGATGGATAGATAGATAATGGATGGATAGATGCATAGAAAGATGATAGATGGATAGATAATAGATGGATGGATGGATAGTTGGATGGATGAATAGAAAGATAGATGGATAGATAATAGATGGATAGATGGATAGCTAGATAGATGGTAGAAATATAGGTAAATTTCATTATTCAGTTTGGGAGAATGAAGGAGAAAGCTGTGCAACTAAAAATGATGCTGAAGACCTTGAGAAGATCCTCCCAACACCTGGGCCATCTGGGCTGATTGTACCATGGCCTGGACTACTGAGGCCAAGGGAGTAAATGCTTTCTGGCAATTTGTCTGCCCAAAAGGGGCACATTATTAAACATTTTTTTTTTGCTTTTTCTATTATTTTTCTTTCTTTCTTTCTTTCTTTTTTTTTTTTTTTTTTTTTGATACAGGGTCTTGTTCTTTTGCCCAGGCTGCAGTACAGTGGCACGATTATCTCAGCTCACTGCAACCTCTGCCTTCCGGGCTCAAGCGACCCTCCTGCCTCAGCCCCTTAAATAGCTGGGACTACAGGCCTACACCATCATGCCTGGCTAACTTTTGTATTTTTTGTACAGACAGGGTTTCACCATGTTGCCCAGGCTGGTCTCAAAGTCCTGAGCTCAACTGATCCACCCACCTTGGCCTCCCAAAGTGCTGGGATTGCAGGCGTGAGTGACCATGCCTGGCCATGTTGTGAAATTTGCATAAAGGAGCTATACATGCCAAGTGGAGCACAGCGAGGTGTTGCAGGGTCTAAAGCATAGGTAATGTGTGAACCTCTTTTTTAAAAGAACACCAAATTATGAATATAAAATGATGAGTGTCCCTTCCAGGACTGTGGAAGGAGCTCCTGTAAGTGAGGCCCCTGGAGTTTAAACTTCCTTAGCTTCCCAGGGAACCCACTATGGGCAGCTCTGATGCCTAGAAGAGCTGTAGGTGAATTGAGCCTGAGCAAACAGGCTCCCCGAGAAAAACATACAACTTCCTCTTGCACACACCAGCAATCCATGGGAAATCAAGGACAGCACCAGGACAATCGGGGAACTCGTCGGCGTCGCTGTGCCACTCGGGGCCACAGCAACCTTGAAAAATGAAGCCAAGTGGTGCTGACATATTTGACACCATTTCTGGAGTCAGGCCAGGGCAGGCCATTACTCACTGATGGACATGCTGCATTCCAGCCACCGTGACAAGCGTTCTGCACACATCACCTTTTTGCATCCTAAAAGCAATACTAGGTGAACAGACGATTGTGCCCCTTTACAAATGAGAAACCAAAGACTAGAGAACTCAAGTAACTTACCAAGGTCGTACAGGTGGTCTGTGGCAGAGCAAGGACATACCTGGTCACCCACACCCAGAACCCACATGCTACAAGGTGCAGGCTGGTCTGCGGAAGGGCCAGTCTGTCGTGAAAAACAAGATGCTCTTGAGAAAGTGGGTGAAGGGCCTCACCTGGTGTGTCGCTTAGTTCCTTTCCCTTTTGATCATCCCTTTGTTGATTTATCTTCAGTCAAAAAGTCATGCCAGGTCTACTGAAGTTGAACTTGTGGTTCAGCTGCTTGGGAATACCACACCTCCACCCGGCCCGGCATTCTAGGAGCACCAGTAAGGGAGTCAGGGTGGCCTGTCAGTCTTTTGTATCCTTTGAGTCTCTGCCCTCTTGTCCTTAAGTATGGCTATGTGTCACAATGTCCAATAAAACAAAATGGATGAACTGAAGAAGAGTTTCAGTCCATGAAAAGAAATAATGCAGACTTACTTATAAGTGGAGGGAACAGTTTGCCAAGGGGAGGAAAATCTAAGCATCTACACCCTTGTTCAGAGCTGGTTCAGAAAGCAAGGAGAGGCACATAAAATCAAGTAGAGCTGTCTTTTAGTTGATCCCTGATGCTTAAAAAGTGAAACAAAATAAGGCATTACCGAGAAGAGCAACCAGATCAGCCATTGGTTCATGAAGGATGCCACCAAAGGTTCCTGAGTGAAAATCCTGGTCTCTGCATTTCACCTGCAGAGTAGATAAAAGGTAAGAGATATACTTCCTGCCTTGGTTCCTTTAGTGTAAGCATTTCACATGGTGAAATACATATCTGCGTGTGTCCCTCAGAACTCAGGTAGGCAACATCCAGACCTGACTTCACTTTCTGTGTTTCTCAGTCATGGGGACTGGATTTCCTACCTGCTGTCGATTGCTTCATTCCCACCATCTCTTGAATCCCCTGAAACTGACTCATTCCTCAGCTCTTCCACCAACTCTATTCTAGCCAAGATCACCAGGCTCTCCTTGGCCAAATGATTGATGTTTACACAGCTGTCTTCCTTTTGGTTTCATCCCATATTGTTGATCACTCCTCTTTCTGGAAAAATTCTCTTCCCTTGATTTCTGAGAAGCTTTCTTCTCTTTCTTCTTTTCTTACCTGCAGGACAATTCTATTGATACCTCCTGTAATAACATCTCTTCTTCCTCCACCTCTAAAGCTTAATACTTGGCTCATCCTTCCTCTACCTGAGCTTCAAGAGCTCACAGGATAGTGTCTATGTATATGGCACCCTTGACATAAGTGACTCCATCTTAGAAAAAGACTCCATCTTACTTTTCCTAAGGGACTTTGCCAACAGGGACTAGATGTTCTGCCTGATCAATAAAGACTGCTTCCAGCTGGATAAGGACATAGCCAAACACATTCTTCCACTATCAGTTCTTATCAGAGGACTTGGCAGTCATAAAACGACCAGGATGTCAGCAGCTCAAAACTTAACAGACACTGTCCTGCTGTCACTTGTGCTAAGCGCCCAGCATCTGCCACCAAAGGCTCTGCCCAGATCAAAGTCTCTTCCTTACAAGACCACTGGACCACCCGGGCCAAGCCAGGATTTCTTTTTGTCTACGTCACTCTCCCTGGACTGGTTCATTAACCTGTTTTCCTATCACTTTTCTTTTCTTTTTTTTTAATTATTTATTATTATTATTATTAATTATTATTATTATTATTTTGAGACAGAGTCTTGCTCTGTCACCCAGGCAGGAGTGCAGTGACATGATCTCAGCTCACTGCAATCTCCGCCTCCCAGCTTCAAGCAATTCTTCTGCCTCAGCCTCCCAAGTAGCTGGGACTACAGGTGCACGCCACCATGCCCAGCTTTTTTTTTTTTTTTTTTTGTATTTTCTTCATAAAGACAGGGTTTCACCATGTTGGGCAGGCTGGTCTTGAACTCCTGACTTCAGGTGATCCACCCGCCTCAGCCTCGCAAAGTGCTAGGATTACAGGCATGAGCCACTGTGCCCAGCTCCTTCTCTCTTGATGGTAAATGTTACTTTGTTTGTTGTGGAATGTTCAGTCTATAACATTCACATATTGGCTAGGTATACCACAATGTATGCTTTACAATACTGACTGCCTTGTGGAGTAGCTTGAGCCTGTGTGCCTGCGCTCTGACTTCTGAATGAATGGGAGGCACTAAGGAGAATTGCCTCCTTGGGAACTCCATGGAGCCCATGGCTTTTATTATTGAGATAGCATCAGTAAAAGCCTGACATTGTGGAATGACACAAACATGTGTGGACCTGGTTATCTCTGACCATGCGGTGCTCACGCTAATTTAAGGGCAGAGATGCTATTAATACAACCATGCCCTTCAATGTTCATCCCTGGAGGTCTGACCTTCTACTTAAACACCAGACCTAAAACTCTGGAATGCTTACGGTGCCTTCCACTTGAGCATGCTTCCAGTTTCCAAAACTCAGGAGATCTAGACCCAAACTCAATCTCTTCTGCAATTACTTCCTACCAGCATGATTTCTCCTATATACGCCATATCCAATCAATTACCAATTTCTACAGGTTGGGCTTTTTTGAAGTTGATTCTTCAGTTCATTCCCTCCCATCCTTCCTGCCCAGCTGGTCTTTCTCTGTTCCTCTTCATCTTCAATGTGGCACCAGAGCAATCTTCGGTATGGTCACTTTAGCATTAAGACTTTCCGTTCACTAGGCAATAATGCTAGCTAAATTACTCTGGAGTGTGGACGGTCTCACTTCGAAAGCTTGAGCTGGCTGTCTCACATTCTGATGACAGCTCCCCTTGTCCTCTCTTGTAACGTTGCTGTACCACCTGTTCTCGGTCTTCATTAAGACGTCAGTCCCTTGACCCTTCCAAGATGTCCCACATTGCCCTCCTGCCTTTGTTTTTTCCCCTGTTCAACCTGAATACCACCGTTGATCACCTCAGCCCCTCTGTGCTCAACACCTTGATGAGCTCTTCCCTACTTTCTCCACCACAACCCTCTGGGGTAACCTCAACCCCTGGGCCAGCCTTCTCTGTCCCTGGCCACTGAGCATGCTGCAGAAAGCCAGCAATTTGCATGGACAGATGACTCCAGACCTTACCACTGCCTGGCCCTTCTTCATCCTCCCATCCCTTCTCTTCCCCCTGTCCCAAAGTGACCACTTCAAGCCATCACTTCTCTGCAGATACACTCACTTCCTACTAAACAGAAAAAAATGGACGCTAAGAGGGAAAAAGCTCTAGGACTTGGAGCTCTCTACCTACCCAAAGCCCTCACAGAAGAGGTTATTTTCTTCCCCTGGGTCTGGAGCTCGCCCCCTCCCACCTCCTCAGTGCCTTCGTTCTCAAAAATTCTCCCCCTCCCTCCCAGGTCTCCAACTGCTCCCTCTGTCTATTGCCTCCCAAGGGCTTCCTCTAGCCATCATCCCAGCTGTCTCCCACTTTTCACAGCCATGTTTCTTGAAAGCGGGTTCTAGAGGACAGTCCCTGCTTCCTATTTTCTCTGTCACTCCCACATCTCTTTAGTATCTGTGTCTCACTAGAAGTAAACTTCCTGAGGGCAGAGACTATTTTATTCAGTCCTATACCCCTGGGACTTAGCATCCTCCTATCTGACAAATAGAAGGCACTCACTGTTTTTCACACGCATAGCCATGTGTGTTTCCGTGTATGTGCTGACATCTGAATCTCAAAACTGCCTAGGGATTGGATACAGCATGGATTATCAGCCTACACGTTGTTATATGAGAAAACAGATTGAAATGATGAAATAATTAGCTATTTACCCGGGAGGGACTTTCTATGTCTTATGCACTATCACAGATTGCCTGTATTACTAGAAAAAGAGAAAAGGGGAAGGAAACTGATTATGCGTCAAACCTCAACTAAAGGCTGCATGTAATGACACAGTCATCCTGGGAGGGGGCGTTATTGTACCATCTTTCAAGGTGGGAAACCAAGGCTCAAGGTGAAACCACCTGCACAAGGCTGGGCATGGTAGAAGCTAGGATTCAGATGCTGGCCTCGGGCGACACCAATGTTCCTTCTCTTTCCCTGTGACCACGGCACTGGGGTCTCCTGCCACTGTGGCCAGCAGGCCCACGCTGGGAGCAGGACACAGCACAGTTGCCCCTGCATTGATCGCGCAGTCTGCTTACCTCCCTGTGGCTGCCATACCTGCCTGCAAATCCCATGGCCAGAGTTTCCAAGCTTTGCTTTGTAAGTCACAAACCCCTGTGAATCCCCTCTCCAGAACAAGGTACATAGCCACATCCACTCCAAGTGTTGGGGGTTCATGACCTCCCCAAACCCCAAGACCTCTGCACCCACCCCACCTCCCCTGAGGCCGTGTGTCCCAGGTAAGGCCTCTGCCCTCAGGAAAGCTTTCTTTCTTCCTCTCCAAGATCCCAGAATGGATTGGTGCTCCCATTCACAACCCCCACAGGCCTCCATCCATGCACTGCTCTCTGTGGATACCTCCACCATGAAGTAGCTGTTCCCCCGGGTTCCGTAAGTGATTGCTGGCTTCCTTTGGCTGATCCACAGGTTATCTGAAATTACAATGTAGTCCACACCAGAGAAGAATCGGTCCTTTTCTTTTTCCACAAGTTCCTCCAGGGCAACAGAGCCAGCCTCTTCCATCCCCTCAATGATGAATTTGATATTCACAGGAAGATCCTAAGTAACAACAGAAGAAAAAAATTGCACAAGTTGCCTGATGTGGTTTGGCTGTGTCCCCACCAAATCTCAACTTGAATTGTATCTCCCAGAATTCCCACGTGTTGTGGAGGGACCCAGGGGGAGGTAATTGAATCATGGGGGCCAGTCTTTCCTGTGCTATTCTCGTGATAGTGAGTAAGTCTCATGAGATCTGATGGGTTTATCAGGGGTTTGCTTCTTCCGCATTTTCTCTTGCTGCCACCACCTAAGAAGTGCCTTTTGCCTCCTGTCGTGATTCTGAGGCCTCCCCAGCCATGTGGAACTGTAAGTCCTATTAAACCTCTTTTTCTTCCCAGTCTTGGGTATGTCTTTATCAACAGCATGAAAATGGACTAATACAGTAAATTGGTACCAGTAGAGTGGGTTGTTGCTGAAAAGATACCCAAAAATTTGGAAGCAACTTTGGAACTGGGTAACAGGCAGAGACTGGAACAGTCTGAAGGGCTCAGAAGAAGACACAAAAATGTGGAAAGTTTGGAACTTCCTAGAGACTTATTGAATGGCTTTGCCCAAAATGCTGATAGCAATATGGACAATAAAATCCAGGCTGAGGTGGCCTCAGGTAGAGATGTGGAACTTTTTTGGAACTGGAGAAAAGGTGACTCTTGTTTTGTTTTAGCAAAGAGACTCATGGCATTTTGCCCCTGCCCCAGAGATTTGTGGAACTTTGAACTTGAGAGAGATGATTTAGGGTATCTGGTAAAAGAAATGTCAAAGCAACAAAGCATTCAAGAGGTGACTTGGGTACTGTTAAAGGGATTCAGTTTTTAAAGGGAAACAGACCTTAAGAGTTCAGAAAATTTGCAGCCTGACTATGTGATAGAAAAGAAAAACCCATTTTCTGGGGAGAAATTCAAGCCAGCTGCAGAAATTTGCATAAGTAGTAAGGAGCCTAATGTTAATCCCCAAGACCACTGGGAAAATGTCTCCAGGTCATGTCAGAGACCTTCACGGCAGCCCCACCCATCACAGGCCTGGAGGCCCAGGAGGAGAAAATGGTTTCATGGGCCAGGCCCAGGGTCCCTGTATTGTGTACAGCCTAGAGACTTGGTGCCCTGTGTGCCAGCTTCCCCAGCTGTAGCTAAAAGGGGCCAATGTACAGCTCGGGCTGTGGCTTCAGAGGGTGGAAGCCCCAAGCCCTGGCAGCTTCCATGTGGTGTTGAGCCTGCGGGTGCACAGAAGTCAAGAATTGAGGTGTGGGAACCTCTAACTAGATTTCAGAAAATGTATGGAAATGCTTGGATGCCCAGGCAAAAGTTTGCTGCAGAGGTGGGACCCTCATGGAGAGCCTCTGCTAGGGCAGTGTGGAAGGGAAATGTGGCGTTGGAACCCCCACATGAAGTCCCTAGTGGGGCACTCCCTAGTGGAGCTGTGAGAAGAGGGCCACTGTCCTCCAGACCCCAGAATGGTAGATCCACTGACAGCTTGAACCGTGCACCTGGAAAAACCGCAGACACTCAATGCCAGCCCATGAAAGCAGCCAGGAGGGAGGCTGTACCCTGCAAAGCCACAGGGGCAGAGCCACCCGAGACCATGGGAACCCACCTCTAGCATCAGTGTAACCTGGACATGAGACCTGGATTCAAAGGAGATAATTTTGGAGCTTTAAAGTTTGACCCCTGGATTTCAGACTTGCATGGACACTGTAACCCCTTTGTTTTGGCCAATTTCTCCCATTTGGAACAGCTATATTTACCCAACACCTGTACTGACATTGTATCTAGGAAGTAACTAGCTTGCTTTTGATTTTACAGGCTCATAGGTGGAAGGGACTTGCCTTGTCTCAGATGAGACTTTGGACTGTGGACTTTCAGGTTAATGCTGAAATGAGTTAAGACTTTGGGGGACTATTGGGAAATTATGGCTGGTTTTGAAATGTGAGGACATGAGATTTGGAGGGGCCAGGGGTGGAATGATATGGTTTGGCTGTATCCCCACCAAATCTCAACTTGAACTGTAGCTCCCAGAATTCCTACATGTTGTGGGAGGGACCCACGGGGAGGTAATTGAATCATGGAGGCAGGTCTTTCCCATGCTATTCTCGTGATAGTGAATAAGTCTCATGAGATCTAATGGGTTTATCAGGGGTTTCAGCTTTTGCTTTTTCCTCATTTACTCTTGCTGCTGCCATGTAAGAAGTGGCTTTTGCCTCCTGCCATGATTCTGAGGCCTCCTAAGCCATATGGAACTGTAAGTCCAATTAAACCTCTTTTTCTTCCCAGTCTCAGGTATGCCTTTATCAGCAGCATGAAAACGGACTAATACATTGCCCATTCACCTTTGAAGATCCACTATTTGTTTGCATATAACATAAACACATGAAATTATTATTTACCTTCAATGTATGAATTTGCATTCCCCACAGTTCTGTTACAGCAATGGAGTTGTAACTACGATTGTGAAGGAGAATTCAAGGTAATGCTCGGTGTGTGCCCTCCAACATGTCCTGCCAATTTAATGCTATGATCAAGAATTGGGGAAAGGAGCAGCTACAGAAAAGCAAATTCTATACTACAGAGCTTGCCTGTGTGGCTACAGAGGGAGGCATTTTTCTCCTTCTCCCCAAAAGGAATTTTTCAAGAAAGGTTAGGCAATTACAAATCGCTTTTCTGTCCTCATAATTCTGAGCATGAAAAAGGAGAACATTTTCCTTTGAAAGATTGTTAAGCCTCGGGATAATTTTTACTTCAAGTAGCTGTTATTTTTCAGCTATGATTTCAATCTGCCTTTTAACTTATTCAAAGGCTTTGATCTTGCAGCAAAATGGAACTTGAGTTTTTTTCTAGTTAATATTAGGGCATGGACTAGCTCCTTTAAAATTTTTACAACATGCTTCTTCCCCCATTTGGTTTTGATCTTTTTATATCTTTATAATTTATAACTTCATATCTTTGAGAACCACATTAAGAGGAGAGGTCAAAGTCTTTTCCTAGAGCACAGGATGCATGCAGAACTCTAAAAGTGATTACAAGCAGATAAACGACACCGCACACACTGTAATCAGTTCTAATAAGTGGGCTTGACTCACCACAGATTAACAAATGCAACATGAGCACGGGATTATGTATGAGAGAATAATAAGTTATGTGGTAATTAAAATGAGAAAATTAGAAAATCAGTCATTCAGTTGGATAAGAGCTTTTGGGGGATAGTAATTTGTTCCTATGTTATCCCTTGTGTTTCTGTGTGTCTTAGGAAGTCCATCTGAAGTTCTGAAATCTTAATATCTGAAGGTTCTGTGTGAACATTGAACTAGCAAACAATTGCTGAGGAGTAGTTGGAAATCCTAAGAATTTTCTGGCAAGTCATGTTTAATAAAATACAAACCCATAGCACTCAGTGTGCAGGCCGCATGCATTAGCAGCTGGGTCTGCCAAGCCTCCCCTTGGCAGTTTACTGCTCTACCTGTGAAATATGGATATTAGTGCTCACTCTGCCTCCTAGAAAATAACCCAGGGAGGGAATGTGTCCTAAGAGCTCTGTAGGCAAGGCAGGCAGAGAAGAAGGGAGGGAGGGAGGAAGAAAGGAACACTCTCGAAGGACCTCGCGCACCATCCCCCATGGAGATGTTTCTTCACTGAATCCCTGCGAGCTTGTGAGGTAGAAACTATCATTCCTGCTTCACAGATGAGGCAAGTCAGGCTCAGAGATTAACTGACTTGTCCAGGGCAGTGAATATTTCTTCTGTTTTCTTTGTGATTATGTAATTTTCAGAGTTGAAATTTAAAAAGCAAAACAGATTTTGGCCTTTTTATCAGAACAATCTTATAAATATTGCTATCCCTTAGAAGGAGAGATAGAGGAAGAAAGAGAAGGAGAGGGAGAGAGAAAGAAAGGAGAGAGGGAGACAGAGATAGAAACCAAGGCCACATCGAATGCTCAGGGCGTATGTGATGCGAGCTTCAGGGATAAGAAGACACCTTTGCAGTGGTCAGCAGGAGCCCGCTGAGACCTGTGCTGATTTCCTGAGGTGTCTTCTGTGAGACTCAGGAGTGAAGTCAGAGTACTTAACTCCCCTCCCATCTGCTTATGTCTCAGGAGAAAATAAACTTCTGAGAGGGAAGCCCCTGGCACCTGATGAAATAACCTTCAGGAAAAGACACCCCAGAAGCCCAGGTCTGCTCTGCAGGACAGGGTGCCAGGGAGGCCCCTCAGCCCTCAGAGCCTTGCAGCCTTGGACAGGGCTGAGGCGGCGTCCAGGACAGGGGAGATGAAACCAGACCCCAGGGCTGACCTGGAGGAGTGCACACATTTTCACAGAACAGATTCCGAGGCCCAGAGAGGTCAAGTTGCTTGCCCAAGGCCACACAGCTAGATCCAATCCTCTGCTGGTGTCTAAGCACATTCATCAGGAGAGGGGAGAAGAGTGGCTTGAGATAAAACCATCCTTGTGTTGAAACACGAGAGAGTTAAAGGTGCAAACCTGGGTCCACCAACAATGTCCTCTGGAGGCCGGAAAGAGGGGACCCACCTCCTCAAATATGTACCCCTGCCTCTGCTCCAGAGCCCTTATTTGGACTTCTAAAGAGAGCCACTGTGCTCTCAGGGAAGAGATCCAAGGATTCCTGCAGAATGTCATGGAGATTCCTATCTTGATCATTTGCAAAGTAGCTGATACATTTTAAAAATGTGTGTGTGTCTCTACTAACAAATCATACTTTGTGATAAGAAGAAAAAGAAGGCTTAAAAAGACAAGATAAGATAAAATAAGGATTAAAGAAAAAAAGACCAGTCCCATCAGATAGCAGCTTGGCCACAGGCTTGTTGTGTCTTTGGCTGTGTCTTGTTTTTTAACATGGTTAACAGTGCAGGCTGGAATCCATCCTCGAAGTATCAGCCTTGCCACCAGCTTCACTGCTCTGGGTAAGTTCTCTGACCTTCCCAAGACTTACTGTCCTTATCTGCAAAATGGATACCATTGTCGCACACACCTCCAAAGATTGTTGGGGCGAGTAAGTGACCTAAGGCAGTTTGCTCAGAACACAGCAAACAACTCAAAGAAAGTTGTCGTTACCATCCTCCTCCTCCTCTCTCCCAAACACAGCTGCCACCTACTTGCTCCAGGGCTCTGAAGGCGCTCACAGCATTGATCCAAGCCAAGACAGGGCCTTTGTTGTCGGTCGCTCCTCGTCCATAAAGTTTCCCTTTAAAAAGGGGAGAAGAATGTTCAGAGAAGTGTGGACACCTCTGCCATGTGAGTTAAAAACCAATGTCGTTTCATGGGTACTGATGTTAACAGTGCTTTCTATAATAATATTGCAGGCTCAAATCTTGCATGAAATTGCAAAGTATGATTTCTTATGTACAAATAAGACTGTACATAAGAGATCCTTGGATCTCTTCCCTGACAAATAGTACAGTCATCAGCTAGTCAGATAAGATAAGCTAATTTGCAATACAGATCCCATTGTCCTTAATAATAATTAGCTATTTTATCCAAGTTCACCGGAGAGACCCACCGGGGATTTGTTGCAGAGTGCCACGTGGCATAGCCTCTCATTTGGGGATTTTACAGTTAGTAGAAGAATGAAAAAAAGATGTGTGTATATCTCTATTAACCTTTCTTCTTTTTCTTTATAAAAGGCGAATTACATTTGATACTGTTCAAAACGAAAGTGTGTGGCCTAGACAACTGTTTTCCTCACAACTCAAGAACCTCCATCCAGGGACACAAAAGTTTACCGTTTTTTTCACAAATGAAAGAAAACCAGCCTCAGTGAACCGATCGGTAGACTTTGAGAGCCGCCTCTCTGTGCATTCTTTTTTTTTTTTTTTTGATGAAGTCTCACTCCGTCACCCAAGCAGAATGGAGTGCAGTGGTGTGATCTCAGCTCACTGCAACCTCCGCCTCCCAGGTTCAAGCAATTCTGCCTTGGTCTCCCAAGTAGCTGGGATTACAGGCGCCCACGACCATGCCCAGCTATTTTTTTGTATTTTTAGTAGAGAGAGGGTTTTGCCATGTTGGCCAGGCTGGTCTTGAACTCCTGATCTCAAATGATCCACCCACCTTGGCTTCCCAAAGTGCTGGGATTACAAGCGTGAGCCACCGCACCCGGCCTATGCATTCTTAATGACAGGGAGAGACCCAAAACCCAGGGACAGAGCCTCATCTTCACCCCTTCAATCTTGCAAGCACAGCAGCACCGCACTGTAGCCCGGGCGCCTCACTGACCGTCTACCTCCGTCAGCACATAGGGGTCCGTGAGCCACCCATCGCCCCGGTCAGCAGGCTGCACGTCCAAGTGGCCGTAGAAGCACACGGTGCCTTTCGTGGGATCGCTCCCCAGTTCGGCCAGGATGACGGGAGGTATTGGAAGACTCTGACCATCGGGCAGCTGCAGAATGATCAGGAATCACATTTTCAAAAATGCTGTGTTGTTCTTCCAGAAAATTCAAAGACATGACATTGGGAGTCTTGTTTGACATTGGGAGAAACTGAGCATCAGTTTCTCCATCTCTAAAATGAGTCCCATGAAACACTTTTTTTTTCTTTTTTCTTTTCTTTTGGAGACAGGTCTCACTCCTGTCGCCCAGGCTGGAGCGCAGTGGCACACTCCCAGGCTCAAGTGATTCTCCCATCTCAGCCTCCTCATAAGTAGCTGAGACTACAGACGTGCACCACCATGTCCGGCTACCTTTTTGTATTTTTGGTAGAGATAGGTTTGCCATGTTGCCCAGGCTGACCAGCTGGGCAGGCTCAACTAATCCGCCCGCCTTAGCCTCCTAAAGTGCTAGGATTTCAAGTGTGAGATGCCACACCCAGCCAAGACACTTTTAATTAAGATATAAAACCTAATCAAAAGTAAAGTGCTTCTTTAGATCCACACTGACAATTAGCATCATTAGCTGAATGTCCTCTTCAGCAAGAATGCAGACGGGCCGGGCACGGTGGCTCATGCCTGTAATCCCAGCACTTTGGGAAGCCAAGGCGGGTGGATCACGAGGTCAGGAGTTGAAGACCAGCCTGGCCAATATGGTGAAACCCTGTGTCTAATAAAAATACAAAGATTAGCTGGGTGTGGTGGTGCACGCCTGAAATCCCAGCTACTCGGGAGGCTGAGGCAGGAGAATTGCTTGAACTGGGACCTGGGAGGCGGAGGTTGCAGTGAGCTGAGATTGCACCACTGCACTCCAGCCTGGGCTACAGAGCAAGACTCTGTCTCAAAAAAAAAAAAAAAAAGAATGCAGATGACAACTGGCTTAAATTAGGTGGACAAATCCTAGAAAACATGGATGATCCTGAGGTTCCTCAGTGCTAAAGTAAGCGCAGCGGGTGCTTAGATTTAAGACATTCATGATGGAGTAGAGTTCTAAGAGATGGTTCTGATGAAAAAAATGCAGCTCCAGATACAACCCCTTTGAGAAAGATGCATATGAATTTAAAGAAAAGGACAATTTCCTTTTCCTTAAAGGAGAAATTTGAACTTTGTGTCCAGGAAATGAAAAGTACAAGGGGGTCCTTTCCATGATAAGGTGACCTTCACTTGTCATCTGCACTGGCTTCTAAGAGCCAACCCCTCCCCAGAGTCCTGACAAGACTGGAAAGCAATAACACGGCTTCATTTGAGACCAGGGGAATGTTTCATCTTCATTGGGAATTGGGGTTATGGGGGGTTGTGGTTGAGGATCAGGGTGAGCCTCTCCCTTGCCACCCCCGGGAAGGCATGACTGACGTCTAGAAGTAGCACCTCCCTCAGTGGGAGGGAATCGTACAGCACCTGCTGAGGACCCATGTCCACCGAGGCCACACGGGCCCCCAGGCGCTGCAGCGTGTCCGCAGCCACGGCCATCATTCTGAAGAGCTCTTGTCTGAAGCGAGGCACAGGCTGGACAGAGTCGCTCTCGATGGCCACCCACTCCTTCAGCGTCTAGGAGGAAGAGCAAGCAGGCCATTAGCATTGGGGTCCCACATCTGCTCTGCGGGGGGAGCGAAGGGAGGGCAGGAGACAGCGAGTCCCCAGGTACTTTTCTGTTGATCAAGGACCTGAGGACCTATGACAGTGCCAGTGAACACTGTGACATTTAAGAGTAACAGACAGAAGAGCTGGGGATTTAATCAGGAACCCAGAAGCCAGAGGCGCCTGGTTAGTATAGAAGGTCAGGCAGGACGGGCTGGGAGAAAGGTGATGGTCTGGGTCCTCACTGCGTTCACCAGGGCTGTACAGGAGGGCAAGTCCCCACCCACTGTTTCTAATTATTAAGAACTGAGGAGCTGGTGGGTTCTCAGCTTTCTCCAGGACTCCTGGCTTCCCACACCTGGTCCTGGAAGCCTCCAAGCCGTGACTGAACCCCACAGGGGCCTCTGCTGGGCTGCAGGTCCCTCCTAACATGCTCTGCATTTAGATTCCCTGGCCTGCCCCTCCCTGTGCCTCTAGGATCCCACAGGCACTGTGACCTCGGGCTTAAACTCAGCCTGTCATAGCTATGTGACTTTGGATGTATTCCTTAACCTCCCTTAGCCTGAGTTTTCTCATCTGCATGAGAAAGTAATGCTCCCAGCCGGGTGCGGTGGCTCACACCTGTAATCCCAGCACTTTGGGAGGCACAGGTGGGCAGATCACGAGGTCAGCAGATCCAGACCATCCTGGCTAACGTGGTGAAACCCCATCTCTACTAAAAACACAAAAAATTAGCCAGGTGTGGTGGTGGGCGCCTGTAGTCCCAGCTACTTGGGAGGCTGAGGCAGGAGAATGGCGTGAACCTGGGAGGCGGAGCTTGCAGTGTGCCAAGATCGTGCCACTGCACTCCAGTCTGGGTGACAGAGCAAGACTCCATCTCAAAAAAAAAAAAAAAAAAAAGAAAAAGAAAGTAATGCTCCCTAACTATAGGGTGATGGTGAGGACCACTGAGGTAACGTGTGCACAGTGCCCAGCACCTGGCAGCCACTCCAGCAGCGCTGGCTGGTATGAATGACTGATAAGAACCACTCACATGCCTGTGTTGGAACCTGAGTGGCTCATACTGAGACAATCAGCATTTTTATGAAAAACTACACAGATTTACTGATCTTGGACTTCTCTTCCTGACTTATTTGAGTTTGATCTCTCTATTCTGGTTGTAGAGCTTTTATTTTTATTATGAAGGCATTTATCTAACCCTTAGGAATATTGTGTTTGACATTTTTAAACTGGAATTTACAGAGCAGAGACTGCTGGCTTCTCCATAAGTTCAGTGGATTTGGGTATGTTTGAGGGACTTAGGAAGAGATGTTTTGGCTGAAAGGCCTAAACCAGGATTAAATCCCCACCACACACTGATTCTGGAAACCCCACTCAGGTTTCAAAAATCCAAGAGGCATTGATGCCTAGTTAATATTTCAGTAAGAAGAAGGATTGCATGAAGGTCAGATTTAGGAACAGTAGGCTGGGCATTCAGCCTCGTGCCTTTAGCCTAATTGCATAATATTCCCAAAATTGGTTGATTGATCCAATAAATGTATACTGAATGCCTGTCCTGTGCCAGACATGATGTGGGGGGCTTGGGGTACAAAGTCCAGGGAGACCTCAAGGAGCTCCCCGTCTGGTGAACACAGACAACAACACATCAGTGTGCACATGTGTGGGGGTGTGTGGGGATACATATATGGGGGTGTGTAGGGATGGGACCGGATGGCCACAGAGGGGACAAGAGAGCCTAGGAGAGTGGGGGTGGGGAGGAGCTGGTGAGTCTGTGGGCTCCGGCAAGCTCCTGCTCTCCCATGCCTCCTCCTGTCTCCTCCTGCTCCCCAGGCCTCCCTCTTTTTGCCATTCCTCCTCATCCTCCCTCTACTTTACCCCCACTCCCAACCTGTATATGTATAGACCCTGTATAGTGAATTAGGGGTAAAGCAGAGGATTATAAACTTGGGAGGCTGAGGCAGAAGGATCACTTGAACCCAGGAGGTCGAGGCCGCAGTGAGCTGTGTTTGTGCCACTGCACTCCAGCCTGGGTGACAGAGCAAGACCCTGTCTCAAAAAATAACAGAAAAAAAGAGGGCCAGGCATGGTGGCTCACACCTGCAATCCCAGCACTTTGGGAGGCCGAGGCAGGAAGATCACTTGAGGTCAGGAGTTCAAAATCAGCCTGCCCATCATGGGGAAATCCCGTCTCTACTGAAAAAATACAAAAATTAGCCAGGTGTGTTGGCAGGTGCCTGTAATCCCAGCTACTTGGGAGGCTGAGGCTGAGGCAGGAGAATCACCTGAACCTGGGAAGTTGAGGTTAGCCGAGGTCTCACCACTGCACTCAAGCCTGGGTGACAGAGCGAGACTCTGTCTCAAAACAAATAAATAAATTGAATGAATGAATGAATGAAGGAGATAAAGTGCCTGTTGCACACATGCTACAAAACAAACAACGCTGCTGTTGAACTTTGCAGAGCTCCCTGGCTCCCCAGCTCTGCCCAGGCCTTACAATAACGTCAGGTGGCATTAGGAATGGGCGACCTGATGGACCAGGGCAGACTTGAGCTCAGCGGAGGTGCTGGTCATCTCTGTGTGGACATCCCTGGACCAAGTGTGCTGGATATGAAGACCCAGTGCCCTTTACAGGAGGAATGGCTAGGAGGGATCTCGTCCATCTGTCTAATGAATACTGAAGATTTTTAACCCAATGAGCAGTCATAGGCATTTTAAATGGAATTAGGCAAAAAAATCCACATCTCCAAGCAAATAATTGTCTCACCCAAATACCAAAGGATATAATCCAAGCATTCTGTGTGTAGTTGTGTAGTTTCTTTCTCCTACCTGCACAAATTCATCCTGATGGAGGTCAATGTACTGGAAGACTTTCTCTAACAGCGCCGGGGGCGGGGAGGGTGAGGAGAACATGCCGCGCTCCAGCAGCAGCAGCAGCACAGCCAGCAGGGACGCAGCCTGGAAGGGTTTGACATGGGAGGAACGAATGAAAATCAATGCCAGTTGCTGGACTTCGGACCTTCCAAATTCCTCAAGAAGGTCTGTTACCTCACACAGCTGCCTCCAGTCAGTCGGAATAAAATAACACAAGGCGGTAGAACCAAACATGTATTTTTTGCTACGTCCTTCCCCAAACACTTTATTTCCAATGCTAAAGAATTTTAATAAGACAAAAACCAAGTTAACAAGCTCATCTTTAAATAACATCATTCCGTTTATTCCTAGGATAAGGTGTTTCCTCCTGGCCCCTTGGGGAGGCCCAGTTCTGCTGCCCAGGAGTGAAGGGTGATCTTTACAAGAGAGAAAAGAGTAAGGTAGAACCAAAAACAAACACGCAAAAATCTTCCATGTGTGATGAACTGCTCTATTAGACAAAAGAATTTCTGAGCAATGCCTAAAATCCAGTGTTGTGGGGTTTCTTTCCACTGGCTCCTGAAATCACAGTACTTTAACAGGAAAGGAAGAAAAACGTCTGAGGTGGTGGTTCATGCCTGTAATCCCAGTACTTTGGGAGGTCGAGGTGGGCGGATCACTTGAGGTCAGGAGTTGAAGACCAGCCTGGCCAACATGGTGCAACCCCATCTCTGAGAGACCCAACCACAACCCTGTCTCCTCCCTCCTCTCCCCTCCCTGACCCCTTCTCAGTCTCCCCAGCCCGTCCACCTCTGGGATGACTCCACCTGGGTGTCCTTGGGAGCCTAAGAGCCAGCATTCCTCCTTGACCCCTGACAGGAAGGTCCTGTGGCAAAGTGGGCAAGGTCACCCCTTCACAGAGGCCCCCCAGAGCCCTGTCTGGAGTGGGAGCTGCCAGCATCAGACCCAGGGGCCACCTGCACATCTGGAGGGGCCATCAGCAACATCTCCCCCAGTGCAGCCCGAGCCATCAGAGGCGGGCTGGAGAAGAGGAGGGAGGGAGCGAGGGCTGGGAAGGGCCAAGGGGGCTGCAGCCCTTGGTCAGACCGCCTACGTCAGGTTCTTGGCTAGGAAAGCCACCAGCTATCCCCAGGAGACCAGCTGGGCTCCACTTTAGAAGCCAAACCCACCCTCCTGCAGCAGGAGGAAGGAGGGGAGAGTTTAACCCAGCCTGTCTCTGTTATTTTTGTCTCTGGAATCCCATCTTTTATTGTTTTAAATGTTTGAGATGTTTTACGTTATCAAATTCTGACTTGTTTAATCTATGATTCTTCAAATGCCCACCTTTCCGTAGGTGGAGGTGAGCAGGGGTTGCGGGGAGAACAAGGGGAACTAGGCTGGTGAAGTCTCAGTGCCATCCCCGAGACCTTGAGAGAGAGATGTGCTCAAGAGCATCCTTGAGAGGACGCTCATCATGGGTGTGGCCCCGCCGATGTTGCTTATTTTACAATGGAGCATCTGCAAGGCTGTTTGAAAAGCAGTTGGTTGAATATTTCACTTTTCATTCTGTCATTTTCATGGCTTCCTCTAATCCACCCTCCACAAAGCAGCCTGGGTGATCTTTTTAAAGGTGGGGCAGATCGCAAGACTCCCTGTTTTAACTCTTCCAAGAGGTCCCATTGCCCTTGGGGTAAAGCAAATATCCCCATGGCTCCCAGGTCTTACATGGTGGAGCCCACCTGCTTCTCCCACCAGACCTCCTCCCTTGTTGGGGTACCATGCAGGGCCCCTCCATCACTTCCCATGTGTTCCCAAATGCATTGCTGAATCTTCCTCCATGCTCCTGCCCATCCCTTGGCCTCAAGCCCCCATAGAGTGAAGGTGAGCTGGGGAGCATCCAAACTGACGAGCCCCCCAACACATTGCACAGTGCATCTGAAATGAATTTGTGCACAGGGAGCTGTGTTCTGTCTCTTCTAGGAATTCACTTCCAACAAAACATCTGGTCCTACTGAAAATGTCCCAGACGGCAATAAAGAGTGCATCTCCCTAACCAGAGTGTCACTCAGCACCTGGGGTCAATCCATCCCATGCCCAAAAGGAAAGCCACTCCCAGGCTGTTCTACCTTCTGTCAGATCAGCACTGAAATGCTACAGGGATGTTCAGGCTTCAAGAACTTTTCAGCTAGGATTCAGCTGGCATAAAATCTGAGTGACCACAGAGAACCTGTGTTCACAAAACAAAGTGGCAGAGTGAGAGTCAATGCTGGAAGAGGGCATGTGGATAAAGCAGTGCAGTCGGGGTGGCATCACGGGGAGACCACAGGCCTAATAGTCAGGAGGGCCAACACCAAGTTCAGCCCTGCCAGATCCCAGCTGTACTCCTTCGGGTACCTCTCTGAGCCTGAATTTCCTCAGCTGTCATCAGGGACTGGGAGCCTCACAGTGGCCGAGGACCCAACCAAAGAGCTATAGAAAAATGTGTGGCTCTGAGAGGACAGAGAGCTCACCAGCTGTCAGGAAAGCAGTAAGATGTGCCATGAAACGCAGACCATGTCCCATCATGGGGTGGGGATGGTCAACAGCAGCATCTTGGAGGAAACTGGTGCTGAACACTGATGGGAAGGAAGGGTAAGCTTGGAGAAGGGCAGGCATTCAGGGCAGAAGTTTTAACCTCTGGAAGTTTCCTCATTTTGAAGTAGGAGAATGTATCAAAACGTTCTAATAAGGGTCTGAATTTTGCTGGATAATAATCGAGAGGAAATTGTGAAGTTTAAGAATAGTTATAAATATTCTGGAGAGTGAACTGGCTTAAGGACACACATACATATCAATTGGATAGAACCGAAAATCCAGAAATAAATCCTCACATTTATGATCAACTGATTTTCATCGAGGGTGCGGAGATCATTCAATGGGGGAAAACAGTCTTTTCAATAAATAGTGCTGGCAGAATAGGATATCCACAAGCAAATGATAAAGTTTCACCCCCTTCCTCACACCATATATAAGAACTAACCCAAAATGATCAAAGACCTAAATGAAAGTACTAAAACCATACAACTCTTAAAAAAAAATAGCTGTAAATCTTCCTACCTTTGGATGAGGTGATGGTTTCTTAGATATGACACCAAAAGACAGGATCGATAAATTGGACTTCATCAAAAATAAAAACATTTGTGCACCAAAGAACACCATCAAGAAAATGAAAAGACAACACGTAGAATGTGGGGGGAGGGATTGCAAATCATATATCTGATAAAGGACTTATGTTGAGACTATAAATGACAATTACAGTTCAATAATAAAAGACAGCCCAATTAAAAATGTGCAAAGGATTTGAATAAACATTTCCTCAAAGAAAATATGCAAATGGCCAATAAACACATGGAAAGTTTAGGCTCAGCATGATTAGCCATCAGGAAAACACAAATCAAACTACATGAGACACAACTTCCTACCCTCTATGATGGCTAGAATTAAAAAGCCAGACACTAATGAGTTTTGACAAAGATGTAGAGAAATTGGAAACTTCATGTACTGCTGATGGGAACGCAAAAGCCTACAGCCACTGTGGAAAACAGTCGGAAAGTTCCTTGATCAATTAAACATAGAGTCACCATATGACCCAGCAATTCTATTCCTGAGTACATATCCAAGACAAGTGAAAACATATGTTCACACAAAAACTGGTAAGTGGATGTTTATAGCGGCATTATTCATAGTAGCCAAAAGGCAGAAACAAGACAAATGTTCATTAATGAATGAATGGATAAATAAAATGTGGTATATTTCACTGAAATATTATTTGGCTATACAAAATGATTTTTATCTTACATAAAAAGGAATGAAGTACTGGTACATGCTACAGTGTAGACAAACTTTGAACACATTGTGCTAAGTGAAATAAACCAGACACAACGGCCATGTATTGTGATTCCATTTACGTAACAGTCTAGAGTAGGTAACTTCATAGAGACAGAAAGTAGATTGGTGGTTACCCAGTGGGAAAATAGGAAGGGAGTGCTAATGAATTTGGGGTGATGAAAATGTTATAAAACCAATTGTGGCAATGGTTGTACAATTCTGAATAAACTAAAAGCCATTAAAATTACACACTTTAAATGGGCCAGTTGTAAGGTATAAGAATTATATCACAATACAGTCATTTTAAAAATAATCATAGCTATAACTACTCATTTGACAATACAAATATATTATTGAATATGAGAACTGTAGATAGAGGAAGCTATACAGTGGTTAAAAGCAAGGTCAAGGTAAGAACTGCGTCCAGTAGGTGGTGCTGATGAGCCACTCATGAACTCCCTGGCTACCCTGCACTCAGAAGGCTGAAGCCAGATCCAGCCCAGCTCTGTGGGACTTAGCCAGGAGCCAGGGGCGGCAGATGAAGCCAGTGGGAGAGACTCCTCTGGCCCTCCAGTAGCCGGAGAGGGAGCTCAGGTGTGAGGAAGGCTTCAATAAAGGCTCTTGGAGACAACAGTGGCTACTGGTTTTTTTTTTGTTTTTTTTTTTCGCAATCGATCCAATTGATCCATCTACATTAACATTTGAGCTTTTATTTTTCCTTCAGACAAGTTCCATTAAAAAAATTATTTGGTGTTCCTCTACAGTGAAAAATAAAAAAGGACAGTTGGAAGAAGGAAATAAGCTGCAGGAAAAAAATATGAAAACAATGATTGTTGTTAGGAGAGAATAGTTCAGATTCAGCAGGAATCTCCTCCTCCTCTGGCCTGGGGAGAGCAGCTTAGCCCTGGTCTCGAATAAAAGACTGACCTGATGCCCTGACCTGACAGTGGCCCTGACAGCAGGGGTCTGACAAGGGGAAGTGCACGACTTCATCTTCCCTCCCTTAATGAATTTCCTCCTCTCCCTCCCTTTTCCCCACAGAGCAGGGCAGCCTGCTATAGTCAATTTGCTGTCCAGGTTCATGGACATTGACTTTGGACATGAATCCCGCCTTCACCATCTGAGTGGGATCTGAGACTCCATCCATTTTTCTCCTGTTCCTCCATGCCTCTGTTTTTGTTTGTGTGTGTGTGTGTGTGTGTGTGTGTGTGTGTTACAGTTGTGCTTGACCTTGAACTAGTTATCTGTATTAGGCTATTCTTGTATTGCTATAAAGAAATGCCTGTGGTGGGGTAATTTATTAAAAAAAAATAGGGTTAATTGGCTCACAGTTCTGCAGGCTGTACAGGAAGCATGGTGCCAGCATCAGCTCACCTTGTGAGGAGGTCTCAAGGAACTTTTACTCATGGCAGAAGGTGAAGCAGGAACAGGCAGGTCATGTGGCCAGAGCAGGCGCAAGAGGGATCGGGGAGGTGCCACACACTTTAAACAACCAGTCTTGCATAAACTCACTATTGCAAGGACAGCACCTAAATACCTCCCGCCAGACTCCACCTCCAACATTGAGGATTACATTTCGACATGAGAGTTAGGCGGGGACACGTATCCAAACTGTATCATTCTGTCACTGGCCCCTCAAATCTCATGTCTTTCTCACATTGCAAAATACAATAATGGGCTGGGCATGGTGGCTCACGTCTGTAATCCCAGCACTTTGGGAGGCTGAAGCAGGAGGATCATGAGGTCAGGAGATCGAGACCATCCTGGCTAACATGGTGAAACCCCGTCTCTACTAAAAATACAAAACAAAAAACAAAAAACAAAAAAAAAAAATAGTCGGGCGTGGTGGCAGGTGCCTGTAGTCCCAGCTACTTGAGAGGCTGAGGCAAGAGAATGGCATGAACCCAGGAGGCAGAGCTTGTAGTGAGCCGAGATCACACCACTGCACTCCAGCCTGGGTGACAGAGCAAGACTGTCTCAAAAAAAAAAAAAAAAATTCAATAATGCCTTTCCAATAGTCCCCCAGCCTTCACTCATTCCAGCATTAGCTCCAAACTCCCAAGTCCAAAATCTCATCTGGAGATGAGTTCCTCTCACCTATGAGCCTGTAAAATCAAAACAAGTTATTTACTTCCAAGATACAATCAGGGTAGAGGCATTGGGTAAATGTTCCCACTCCAAAAGGGAGAAATCAGTCAAAAGAAAGGGGCTCCAGTCCCCATGCAAGTGT
Organism: Homo sapiens; assembly: GCF_000001405.40. NCBI lineage: Eukaryota > Metazoa > Chordata > Mammalia > Primates > Hominidae > Homo > Homo sapiens. The sequence goes on along the minus strand of NC_000018.10, from coordinate 74,550,345 downwards.
AAAACCCAGCAGAGTGTCATTAAATCTTAAAGCTCCAAAATAATCTCCTTTGACTCCATGTCCCACATCCAGGGCACTTTGCTGCAAGGGGTGGGCTCCCAAGGCCTTGGGAAGCTCCACCGCTATGGCTTTTCCAAGGTTAGGATGTAAGCTGCCAGTGGATCTACCATTCTGGGGTCTGGAGAATGATGGCCCCCTTCTCACAGCTTCATTAGGTAGTGCCCCAGTGGGGACCCTATGTGGGGACTCCAACCCCATAGTTTCCTTTTGACCTGTCCTAGTAGAGGCTCTCTGTGAGGGCTCCACCCCTCCACCTCTAGGTTCTTTCTAGGCACTGAGGCTTTCTCATACATTCTCTGAAATCTAGGTAGAGGCTGGCAAGCCTCCCTTACTCTTGCACTCTGTGTGTCTGTAGGCTTAACACCATGTGGAAGCTGCCAAGGCTTACAGCTTGCATGTTCTGAAGCAGTGGCCTGAGCTGTATCTGGGGCCCTTTGAGCCACAACTGGAGCCTTCTGAGGCTGTACAGAGCAGTGCTGTCCCAGGTCTGGCCCATGGAACCATTTAGTCCTCCTAGGCCTCTGGGCCTGTGGTGAGAGGGGCTTCCTCAAAGGTCTCTGAAATGCCATCAAGACCTTGTTCTCATTTTTTTTGGCTTTTAACACTTGGCTACCTTTTAGTCACGCAAGTCTCTCTAGCAAGTGGTTGCTCTGCAACCTGTTCAAATTCCTCTCCTGGTAATGATTTTTCTTTCTCTGCCACATGGCCAGGCTGAAAATTTCCCAAACTTTATGCTCTGCTTTCCTTTTAATCTTTTTCCCATTTAGAAAAAAAAAAAGTGCAGCTCACTGCCAGTGCTCATTTAATTTTATATAAACTCACTCTTTGAGGCTGAAGCAAATCTGACTGATTTTCAATGTGAAAATAAAATATAAAAACTGTTCGGGGAGTTCTTTCTAAACAGAACTAACATCAGAATCATCAGAACATCTATTTCAGATTCATTAAATGAATCTTTGACCCACAATTGTTCAAGAACAATGTTAACATCACGTGTAGGAATGCTACGTTTTCTAGGATTTGACATTTTCAGCAGTTGAAAATTACTACATTTTGTTAATGGAAATACCACTAACTAAAACCAGAATGCCATAAATAGAATGATGTCTGTTGTTTCCAAAGTCAATATACTAGAGTGATGTGAAAATAATAATAAAAGCAAGATAGTTCATGGCAAAGTTATCTCAGGGTAAATGCTGCAGCCACAAGTGCCACTGGTGAGTATTCTTGGGGCAACCAGGAAAAGGGTTAAATATAAATTCCAACTTTAAGTCATTTCTTTACTTCCACACCTGAACATAAGTTGTTAGAAGCAGCCAGGTCACATCTTGAACACTGCTACTTAGAAATTTCTTCTGCCAGATACCCTAAGTCATCACTCTTAAGTTCAAATTCCACAGATCCTTAGGGCATGAACACAATGCAGCCAAGCTCTTTGCTAAGGCATAACATGGGTGAGCTTTGCTCCAGTTCCCAATCAGTTTTTCCATCTGAGACCACATCAGCCTGGACTTCACTGCACACATCACTATCAGCAGTTTGGTCACAACCATTAACCAGTCTCTAAGAAGTTGCAAACTTTCCCTCATCTTCCTGTTTTCTTCTGAGCTCTCCAAACTCTTCCAACCTCTGTCTGTTACTGAGTTCCGAAGTTGCCTCCACATTTTCAGGTATCTTTATAGCGATGCCCCACTCCTCAGTACCACTTTTCTGTGTTAGGCTGTTCTTGCAGTGCTATAAAGGAATACCTGAGGCTGAGTAGTTTATAAAGAAAAGAGGTGTAATTGGCTCATGGTTCTGAAGGCTGTATAAGCATGGTGCCGGCATCTGCTCAGCTTCTGGGGAGGCCTCAAGGAGCTTTTACCCATGGTGTAAGGTGAAGAGAGAGCAGGCTCCTCACATGGCAAGAATGTGAGCAAGAGCAGGAAGCACCACACACTTTTAAACAACCAGATCTTGCAAGAATTCACTCACTATTGTGAGGACAGCACCAAGCCAGGAGGGACCCACTCCCATGACCCAAACACCTCCCACCAAGCCCCAACTCCAACATTGGGGATCACATCTCAACATGAGATTTGGCAGGGACACAGATCCAAACTCTCATCACCCATTGAAAATCTAGGGATGTCGAAAGGTTATTCCTGGCTTTTGACCTTGCAAAAAGAAGAAAGAGGAGCTGAAGAACAGGAAGTTGCGCTTGCGGGGGCTGGGGTTAGGGATGCGCAGGGTGAGTCCTGGACTGAGAGAGTCTTTTCGGCGGGGGTAGGCGGTTGCCCAGCTGAGGGTGGTAAGCTCCCACTGGCTATGGGACCCTGAGGGGAACCCCACTTGCTGCATAGGCCTGTGTTTATTCCAGGTGGTTATTCTTAGATTTTTAGATTTGGAACAAAAGTTCCAAGTGCCCCTGTGCTGAGTCTTTTCTCTAAATACTGTAACTCTTAGCGGGAGGTTTACATCCTCTGCTGTGTTACCATCACAACCTGTCCTTCCCCCGAAGCGAGAGGTCCTGGGGCACTTCCTGAGTCTTCTTAGTGTCTTGACATCTTGTTCTCCTCTTTCTCCTCCCACAGCTGCCTGAGCTTCCAGCAGACACTGGCACTGGCTTCGCCTCCACCTCCCTCCTAGCTCTTGCTAACAACTGGAGAGTTGCATGCCCTGTGGGCTTAGCTGATGGAGGTCTTGACAGTGGCCTGGGATACTTTAATGAAGGACACTTCTGTCTCCTGCCAGGAAAGGAGCAGGCATCCCTAAAGGAGGATGGAGCAGGGGTGCTGTGGGAAAACCCCACTTCTGCACTGGTTGTTTTTGTTTATTTTGGGTGTTGAACAGAAGAAAGAATAGAAAATGAAAGAAAGCACTCTTGCCTCCACCCCCCACAAAGCCTCAGGCCAAGGGTGGGTCCTTGGTGTCCATACAATGGCCAATCAGCCAGACCCTTGTTCAGGGGAAGAAACCTCAGTGACCGTCAGTCATCCTGGAAGCCGAGAATTCTATTGCCCTCCTAGTCTAGAGTCCTTGTGGGATTGTTTTATAGAGGTTGCTCTGTGCTGGGTCTGCTCTGATGAATTTGTTATAACACAGAAAAGAATGTTTTATTAGCCTAGCTTATCTCACCATCACAGGATTTTAAACAAACAACAAAAATGGGTTTTTCTGGATTCTGTTGATTTCCTGTAGGCACGGAGCTGAGCCAACGTGGCTCCTGCAGATTGATTAACTCACTGTGGCGGCAAGTCCCCATGGAGGAGTCAGCAAGGGCGTGGTTTCCTTCAGCCAGCATCCTGGAGAAACTCCAGGGAGCAAAATTCCCCAGAAAGTCTCAAGAACTGTGAGTCCCTCCATCATCCTCTAGTCCAGCCTAACCTGTGAGCTTGACCCTGGAGAAGAACAATGCCTGAGGCCAAGTTCAGCTTAGACTCATTCCCAGAATGTGAGGCCACACACCACGTGAAATGGCTGGAAATACTAACAAAGTTTACCCAGTTCGCTAGGATCCTAACAGAGCTGCTCCTTGAACGCTGAGCAGAGCTGCAAGAAGTCAGAGACTGCCGAAGCCAGGGGATGGAGGAGGAATTGAGGAATTGAGTGCCAGTCACGGGGTGGGTGTTTCCGTGGTTTGCAGGGAGAGCTGGCCTAGAGCTCAGGCACTAGCACTTAGGAACTGGCTGGCTCAGGACACAGGCTCTGAAGCAGGGACAGTGGGACCTACTATGTGCCCTCAGGGGGGTGGCACGAGAGAATACGGCATGTGGCACCTACCAAGCACCTTAAGGGGGGTGGCACGAGACAGTACCGCATCTGGCACGTCACAGCCCAAGGCACTGTACAGCGTCTTCTCTCCTGGGCAGAAGACAGCTAGTCCAGCAACCAAGCCGCTAGGGTGGGCCCTCGGTGCTCCCACCTGTGTCTGGGGTCCTCGTGGGTAGGCGGTGGGGAAGAGAAAGCTCGCAGTGTCAGGGTATGAGGCTGGTGTGATGGTAACGGGAACAATGCGCCTTCAGACACTTTTACTCCCCACAGTCTGGACAGGGATCTGAGCCTCGCCAGACATCAGCCAGAGAGACAGCACAGCACCACTTTGCACTACTTCCGGAACCTTCCATCATCTAGAAACGTAACAGTGGCTTGTAGCACAATGACAGAGCCAGTCAAACAACAATGACCAAAAAGAGTGAATGAAATAACCAGTGATTTCAGTTATTTCTCCAACAGGCCAGAATCTCGTGACAGTTAAATCGATACATTGAAGTATACTCTACCAGGGACAGTGGTGTCATCAGACAAGGCTGGGCTTTGAGTTCCTCGGAGGCAAAAGCGTGTTTCCAATGGGGAAACAGGGCATGGCTCTCGGTTTTGAGGGGTGAGAGGTGTAAATCCTAAGGGATCCATGAGGCTGTGCCTGACGCTGGAGCCAAAACCCAAGGCGAACATTCTCCTTTGGAGATATCGTAGCTGTGGCCACACCAGAGCCACTGGCTCTTCTTCCTTTAAATCTCATTTGAGTGATTTTTGTGTAAAAGTGTCGATAGGATATTTACAGAATACCTGCAGGGGAGACTGTACAATCTCAGGGGGCAGCACGTGAAATTAAGATGTTCCGGCCGCAGAACAGCAGAGAGGAGGAGGAGGGTCGGAGGGAGTGGGGAGTTGAGAGAGACGTGGACTGGGGACAGAGGAGGGGTGGCGAGGAGGAGAGCAGAGATTTCTCACGGAGTCAGGAGAGGAGAGCCTGGCAGGGTTTTGGTGGGACCGTGGGCCAAGGTGGAGACACCAAAATGCAGACAGCACCAAATAACACGTTTCTTTTCTAGAAACCTGTAATTACGTACACAGCCTTTAAAGTGTCATCTTACACATTCAGCTCACAGCAAAATTACTTTGACTTCAAAGTGCCAGGCTTTAGGCGTCCTTGGTGCCTGTGAACCAAGGTCCCCGGTTAAAGGCGGGGGTGGACTCCAGGGCTTGGCCACCTCTGGCGATGGCATCTCAGGCCACCTTTTGGCTTTGAACAAAAGTCCAACAAATGTAAAGTCGAGAACAAGGCAGATTCGAGGAGAGGGCGGGGCTTTCCCATCGGTCTCCACTAGCTTCCTCAGGCTGCTGGAACAAAGCATCCCAAACCGGGGGCCAAACACCAGGACTTTATTCTCCCACAGTTTTAGAGGCCAGAAACCTAAATCACGTGTTGGCAGGGCTGGGCTCCGTCTGCAGGCTCTAGGGGAGGGTCCTTCCTGCCCCTCCAGCTTCTGGTGTTGGCAGCAGTCCTTTGCTGTGACTGTGTCCTTCCAGTCTCTGCCTCCGTGTGTGCACAGCCAGCCTCTTTCTGTGTCTCTCTGTGTACTCTCATCTTAGGAGGACACTGAGTTTTGGATTTAGGGCCCACTCTACTCCAGAGTGACCTCTTTTTAACTAATTACATCTGTAAAAACCCTGTTTCCAAATAAGGCCACGTTCTGAGGTTCCAGGTGGACAGGCATTTTTGAAGGAATGTTATTTAACCCAGTACACCCTGTTATTATTTTCTTACCACTATATAATATCCTTTTTTTTTTTTTTTTTTTTTTTGAGACAGAACCTCGCTCTGCTGCCAAGCTGGAGTGCAGTGACATGATCTTGGTTCACTGCAACCTCCACCTCCCGGGTTCAAGTGATTTTTCTTGCCTCAGCCTCCCAAGTAGCTGGGATTACAGGCATCTGCCAGCATGCCCAGCTAAGTTTTTGAATTTTTAGTAGAGATGGGGTTTCACCATGTTGGCCTGGCTGGTCTCGAACTCCTGACCTCAGGTGATCCACCTGCTTCGGCCTCCCAAAGTGCTGGGATTACAGGCATGAGTCACCGTGCCCGGCCTTCTTATCACTATATAACATTCTATTATTTGTTTACTTATTAATTATCTGTCTGGCTCTCATGACATAAGCTCCATGGGGGCCAGGACTTTGTTTCTCTTCTTTCCATAGCCCCAAGAGCCTATGTACTGTCTATCATAGAATAAGATGCCAATGCACATTTATTTTTACGTATTTATTTTTTGAGACAGAGTCTCCCTCTGTTGCCCAGGCTGGAGTGTAGTGGCATAATCACTGCTCACTGCAAACTCAAACTCTTAGTGTCAAGTGATTCTTCTGTCTGTGCCTCCTGAGTGGCTGGGACTACAGGTGTGCAACACCAAGCCGGCTTATTTTTTAAGCTTTTTGTAGAGACAGGGTCTTGCTATGTTGCCCAGGCTAGAGTGCAGTGGGGTGATCATAGCTCACTGCAGCCTGGATCTCCCAGGCTCAAGCCACCCTCCTGCCTCAGCCTCCTGAGAAGCTGGGACTAAAGGTACAAGCCACCATACGTGGACTGATTTTTAAATTTTTTTTAGAGATGGGGACCCACTATGTTGCCCAGGCTGGTCTGGAACTCCTGAGCTCAACTGATCCTCTTTCTTTGGCCTCCCAAAATGCTAGTATTACAGGTGTGAGCCATAGTGCCTGGCCTCATTTCCTCTGTTTTCTTCTAGAACTCCTACTACATTGGAGTCTTTCGATCTATCATATATCCTCCAGATCTCTTAGTTTTTCCCTTTTTTTCTTGTTATCTCTCTGCTCTGATTCCTGGGCATATTCTCTGTAATATTTTTCAGTTCATTAATTCTCACTTTGACTGTGCCCAGTCTAGAATTTTTACTGTTCAGTTATTTCAATAACTAGTTACATTTTCAGGATGTCTAATTGGTTGATTTTAATACCCATCTGTTTTTATTTTATTTTATTTTATTTTATTTTATTTTGTTTTGTTTTATTTTTTGAGACAGGATCTCACTCTGTTGCCCAGGCTGGAGTACAGTGGTGTGATCATCGTTCACTGCTGCCTCAACCTCCTGGGTTCAAGTGATTGTCCCACCTCAGCCTCTTAAGTAGCTGGGACTACAGGTGCATGCCACCACATCCAGCTACTTTTTGTATTTTTTGTAGAAACAGGGGGGTCTCACCATATTGCCCAGGCTGGTCTCAAACTCCTGGGTTCAAGTGATCTGCCTGCCTCGTCCTCCCAAAGTGATGGGATTACAGGCATGAGCCACCACACCCGGCCCCTGTCTGCTCCTGATTCATAGATACCTGCTTACGTTTTGTATTTTCTCATTCTTTAATATGGGTGTTAGTCTTTCATTTGTCTCTTGAAGAATTTAAACATACTTCGTTTGCATCCATTTTAAACATGTTCTACTCTTTGTATGTCAGTCTTGGTAAACCCATTTCCTAACACATTGCAAAAGCTATTTTTCTTAAGGCATGTCTTTCTTACATACTTCAGAACTTTGGCTTGCAGCCTCAACTTGAATGACAGTCATTTTATTCTCCTTCTCTGTTATGAGTTCTGCCTAAAATGCAATGGTTGCCTCCACCTGGTGCTTTAAGATGCCCATTCCAGGTCGAGGTCTTAAACTGGTGGCTTACAGTTCTCAAACAGTGTTCTAGTGGCACACACCTGTAATCCCAGCATTTTGGGAAGCCAAGGTAGGAGGCCCACTTGAGCCCAGGAGTTCAAGACCAGCCTGGGCAACACAGAAACTCTGTCTCTACATAAGCGAAATCAGATTTTAAAACTTAGCCAGGCCAGGTGGTGCATACCTATAGTCCCAGCAACTCAGGAGGTTTGAGGTGGGAGGATCACAGAGTGAGATCTTGTCTCAAAAACAAAAAAACAAACAAAATCCTGAAGTATATGCAATTGCTTTGCTTGAAGTGGATGGGGAGTTTTAAGGGTGAACTCATACTGTGTCTTGATCGGGACTGCCCTACAATGATTTCACTTCCTGGGACGTAATGTCCCTACAGCCTGGCCCAGTGCCAGGCTCAGTGCTGGGAACGCTACCTGGTGCAAACTTTCCCAAACTGGAGGAGAGCAAGATTCGGGTGAAGATAAAAAGGGTCCACTTAAAAGCCCACAAGCTCTGTTCAGTGCACCTTAAAAGGCATAAATGTTTGTATCCTGGATAACCTCAACCTCCAGGAATTGGCTAATAATGACTAATAAATTAGGCCTTGACACCAGGAGCTCAACAAGCAAACCTCACCCTGTCAGCAGGGACAAGGCTTCTGGGATGGCCCCAGGGCAGTGCTCCTGCGCACACCTCTGGCCTGCAGTACAAGGTACAGAGTTGGGTAACAAGACCGCCCCAGGCAAACTGTGAAACTGAAACATGCAAACGCGTTTCTCCCTGAGCGCCATGCACTCTGGGATCCCAGGGCACTGGAGCTAGTCCTAGAAGGCACAGGGGACCCCTCCTCATCTGCAGTCTTTGGGGAGTTCCATCTGTGCGTGCCTTGTCTTAGCACTGTTTCTCTCCCTTTCACAATGCGCCCCATTCCTTCTGAGGTCAGCAGGGGACAGCACCCCAACTTTATGTCCTGTGGCGCCGGAAGCTGAGCCACGTGTACCATGAAAGGTACCTTTGTCCCAACCACAGTGCTTCTGAAGAAGTGGGGGATTGTAACCGCTTGAAAGAGCAATTGAGAATTGGAACACTGGGGCATTGTGGGGCCTGAGGAGAGGTGCTCTGGGGACAGAAAGCCCCTACCTCCTGATTAGGGCTGGGACGAAGGGGCTGGGGAGGACCTCAGGGCTCAGGTCCCCTGCTCCAGCCTTGCTGCTGCCTGCCCTGTGATGGTGAGACCAACAATGCAACAGACCACCCAGGCTCCCTCCCATAAACCAACCGCATGTGCATATTTCCTCCTGGGCAGGAGCTCTGCACTGGGATCAGTAGGATGGTGGCTGGACCCACCCACCCCTTCTCCTTCTGTGACTCCTCCAGGAGCTGGCTCTCAGCTCCAGCCAACAAATGCCACCCACCCTCCAGATACCATCAGCTCCTGAACCTGCCAGGGTCCCGAGCCAGCAGAGTGGCAGTCACCAGGGCAGCATCTCTCTCTGGTGAGCCGCAGATGACAACCTGCTGAGAAGCTAGGACAGCTGCCCTAGACAGTGCACGCTCAGGGGAGGATCCGATCACTGTGCCTTTCCTGGCAGCTCCTGTGGCAGCTAAACGGTGCCTCTGCACACCTGCCGTCTCCTTCCCCAGGTGCGTCAGCAGAGCCCATGACCGAGGCTGCACTCACTGTGAGCCCCCAGCGGGTGATGGCTCCCAACTGCAGCCCCATTTCCCCCTCCACTTTCAGAACCTACAAGTTTCCGGTGTGAACCACAGAAAAGTGTGTTCCAGTGCCCAACAACTCGCAGGCCTCTCCCAGAACGCCGCTAGTGGGTGTCTGGAACTAGCATTTAATGTCTATAGCAGTCTGTGCTAAACCACCCGTGATACAAGAAAATCGGCATCACTTCATTAGAAGCCAGATCTGAAATTTGATGTTTGCAGCATTCCTCAGATTCTAGTGCTGGAGTGAGTTAGGGATTCCACACATCATGTGATTTGTTGATTAACAGAAGTGGTGACCATCTGCAGTAAGTTCACGTTTACATTTTTATTGCGTCTTCACATGCATGGAGGGCAGGCACTGAGCCGAGCACTCATGGCCACAACGTCGCCAATCACCCTGAAAATCCAGTAAGGCAGAGCTACTGTAGCTGCATTTCACAGACAAGTGACCTGAAGCACTAGAGGGGTCAAGAGACTGCCTGGGATCACACAGCCAGGATGAGTAGGTTACACCCCCACACATCTAAACACGGCTCTCCTTTCTGGACTTGCCCTCCAATCCTCACTGAGGTTCCCCAAGAGAGCTGTTGCCATTCCCTCTTATGTCACATACAGGGGGCCAGGCTGAGGCAGGGTGCCCATTCCAGGCACTCAAGGTCAGATCAGAAATTCAGGGCAGAGTTCAGACGTGGTGGCTCACACCTGTAATCCCAACACCTTGGGAGGATGAGGCGGGTGGATCACCTGAGGTCAGGAGTTTGAGACCAGCCTGGCCAACATGGTGAAACCCCTGCCTCTATTAAAATATACAAAAATTAGTTGGGTGTGGCAGTGGGCACCTGCAATCCCAGCTAAAAGGGAGTCTGAGGCAGAAGAATCGCTTGAACCCAGGAAGCGGAGGTTGCAGTGAGCTGAGATCGCGCCATTGCACTCTAGCCTGGGCAACAGAGCCAGACTCCGTCTCAAAAAAAAAAAAAAAAAAGATTTATACCACACAAATGTAAAGTGTAGATCCTATTTAGATTCTGATTCGAAAGACCAGTGGTAAAACTATTTTTATGGGACAATATGATAAAGTTGACCACAGGTTGTAGGTTGTATATTTGTTGATCTAAAGGAATTATTGCTATTTTATAGTGTGTTAATGGTATTGTTGATATACACACATGTGCTCACCTTCAAGATATGTGCTGAACAACCTACAGATGCAATAATGCAATGTCTGGAATTTGCTGTAGGATTATCTGGATGCTGAGAGTGGGGGTCCTGGGAGGGGCTCTCTTGAAACAAGATGGGCCACATGTTGGTAATTGTTGGAACTGGCTGATAGGCACATGGGGACTCACTATCCTCTTCTGTCTATGTTTGTGCATGTTTGAAACTTTCCATTAAAACGAGAGAGCAGGGTTAGGGGCAGGCTGAGCCTTGGCAAGCAGGCAGTGTCCTGGGCCAACCTGAGCTCATGGCCACCGCGCTTGCAATAACGCCACTGATCCCAGGAACCACTTGCTGCTCAGGAGCAGGTGGTGGTGCTTGGGGGCCCATGTGCACCAACAACACTAACAAGGAGTTTGGTCGGAGGAATCCTGCAGGTGGGGAAACTCCCTGGCTGTGGATGAGCAGTGCTGGCCAAGGAAGGATCCGAATGCCTCATGCGCAGGATAGCTCCCTCCGGCATTTGCTGGCACTGGGGATGAGAGATGAGGAAGCCTCCGGGAGCTGGGAAAGAGCCCACCTGGCAGTCCTGCATCCTCAGACCCTTCGTGAGACAGTGTGCAGGAGAAGTGGATGGCGGAAAATTAGCACGTGCCTACTTAGAAATCCAGGCTCTGGGAAAAGCCTGCATCCTTCCGTCGTAAGTTGGGAGTCTATTAATATAAAGAACTAAAAGCTGGTGGGAACAAACAGGTGTAGATCTCCTTAGTCAAATCCCTGCTGATAGGGAAGGCTTTTTTTTTTTTGAGATGAGGGAGAAACCTTGTTGTAGGAAGACAGTGTTTGCAGCGAATGTCCATGTATTTTCCGGCCATAATCTCTCCCTGTTTAGCTTTAACAGGCTGCTTGAGAGAGAATGCCAGCTCCTATCTTGTGCAAACCAACAGCAGAATTGATTAATTAGAAATAAGCTGAACCCTAGATTCAATAAGAACTGGGCTTAGGTTCAGAACCTTGGAGCAAGAGATACACCCTGGAAGAGCCAAGAAAAATCTAGGGAGACTTTTTATACTCGAAGTTGAAAATGTTGTCAAAGGCGACAGGTTCTCTGTCAGAATCCCTTGACGGGGATGAGGTGGAGGGTCATGGTTAAAATGGTAGATCTTTTGGCCAAGAAGTGAATGAAAAAATGTTCAGTATCATTAGGCATTGGGAAATGCAGATCAAACCACAACCAGACACCACTTCCCACCCAGAGGATGCCGGGAATCACAAAGTCAGATAACAAGTGTTTTGAGGATGTGGAGAAATTGGAGCCCTCACACACTGCTAGTGAGGATGCAAAATGGTGCAGCCAGCATGGAAAGCAGTCTGGCAGTTCCTCAGACACTGATCCACGGAGCTACTGTATCAACCGGCAATTCCACTCCCAGGTACACACCCTGGAGGAATGAAAATACATGTCCACACAAAAACTGGGACACAAATGTTTATAGCAGCATTATTCATAACAGCCGAATGGTGGAAACAACCCACATGTCCACCAACAAACAAATGGATAAATACAAAATGTGGCATATTCACACAATGGAGTATTATTTGGCCATGAAAAGGAATGCAGTCCTGATATATGCTATGACATGAATGGACCTTGAAAACATTACATTAAGTGAAAGAAGCCAGTCACAAGAGGCTGCATATTGTATACCATTCATATGAAAGTCCAGAATAGGGAAATCTACAGAGACAGAAAACAGGTTAGTAGTTGTTTAAGGATAAGGTGAGGGAGGGGCGAATAGGAGGGTCATAGCTAAAGGGTATGGGTTTCTTTCTGAGGTGAGGAAAATGTTCTAAAATTGATGGTGGTGATGGTTGCACATGTCAGTGAATATACTAAAAGCCACTGAATGATGGCTTGAAAGTGCAGATTCCTGGGCCTCTACCCTAAAACTGCTCACACTAAAGTTTGAGAGAAAACAAAACAAAACAAAAACCTGAGTATGGGATTTAGTGAAAAAGGCAGTAAATTGTACATGGATGGGTAACTTCTCACCTTCGTCTAAATTGTACTTTGTCTTTTGTCTTCAGCAGCTAGAAGTTCTACTCTATGGTTTTAACAAGAATGCCGCTTTATGTGGAAAGAAACAAGGAGTGTGGACAAAGTGTAGTGATATATGACCTGGTTCATTCCCCCCAGAGGAGCTTCCTGGTCCCAGAGTCCATATCCCAGGTACCACTCTTTGCCCGGAGTGACTGGGCCTGGGCACTAGAGCACAGAGGAGGCACATCACACATGCTCACTGCATGTGCCCCATCCAAAGGGTGAGTGCCCACAGCACAGAGCCCCCTCTGCATCCTGTGGTCCAGCTCCCCAAACCTCATCCAGTCCCCCTGGGCCACAGCCAGGGATCCACCCTAGCTGTTGATGGGCATTTGATCTGTGTCACAGTAAAAGA